>NC_000014.9:73248076-73399591 GCF_000001405.40 Homo sapiens
GTGTGTGTGTGTGTGTGTGTGTGTGTGTGTGCGCGTGTGTGTGTTGTGGGGATCGTGGCTGTGGGCATGGCCCAGTGGGAGTCTCATATCCTCTGTGTGTGTGTGTGTGTGTCTGTGTGTGTTGTGGGGATTGTGGCTGTGGGCATGGCCCAGTGGGAGTCTCATATCCTCTATGTGTGTGTGTGTGTGTGTGTGTGTTGTGGGGATTGTGGCTGTGGGCGTGACCCAGTGGGACTCTAGCTTTCAGAATTCCCCCTGGATCCTGAAGTGGACACATGTCAAAAATAATTTGATTATAGTCACATGATAGAAAAATTGGAACACAGGGGAAAGTCTAAAAAGAGAGTAGAGGGATACCTTCCATGGTATGGAGATGATTATAATCCTGTTTGTACTTTTGGGTTGTTTTAAAATGTGTATATATTTAGATAAATATAAAAATTAAGGTAGGGTACAGTGGCTCATGCCCGTAATCCCAGCACTTTGGGAGGCTGAGGCAGGAGGATCACTTGAGTCCAGGAATTTGAGACAAGCCTGGGCAATGTGTGAAACCCCATCTCTACCAAAAATACGAAGATTAGCCAGGCATACAAAGATTAGCTAGGCATGGTTGCACACCCATGTAGTCCCAGCTATTCGAGAAGCTGAGGTGGGAGGATCACTTGAGCCCAGGAAGTTGAGGCTGCAGTGAGTCAAGATCACACCACTGCACTCCAGCCCGGACGACAGAGTGAGATCTTGTCTCCAAAAGAAGAAAAAAAAATTAAAACCAGGCCAGGTACAGTGGCTCCTGCTTGTAATCCTGGTGCTTTGGAAGGCTGAGGCAGGAGGATCATTTGAGCCCAGGAGTTTGAAACCAGCCTGGGTATCGTAGTGAGACCCTGTCTCTACAAAAAATAAAAAAATTAGCTGGGTATGATGGCATGTGCCTATAGTCCCAACTATTCGAGAGACTGAGGCTGGAGGACCACTTGAGTCTCGGAGGTAGAGGCTGCTGTGAGCTTTGATCGTGCCTCTGCATTCCAGCCTGGGAGACAGAGTGAGATCCCATCTGAAAAACATTAAAACCAGAAAAAAGTTATCCTCATCCTGCCCCTTTCACAAGATCACTGTTAGCATTTCATTTTAGCCCCTTTCACATTATTCTCTCCATATATGCTTACATATTTGTAATTATTGCATAGTAATCACCATTTTGCATTCTGTGTTTTAAGCATCTTCCCACACCATATAGTCTTCACAATCATCATTTGTAACTGCATAGTCAGCATGTGTAATATTCCATTGATAATTTATTTAAAGAGTAGCCTGTTATGGCCATGCACAGTGGTTTACACCTGTAATCCCAGCACTTTGGGAGGCTGAGGCAGGTGGATCACCTGAGGTCAGGAGTTCGAGACCAGCCTGCCCAACATGGTGAAACCCCATCTCTACTAAAAGTACAAAACTTAGCCGGGTGTGGTGGCGCGTGCCTGTAGTCCCGGCTACTAGGGGGGCTGAGGCAGGAGAATTGCTTAAACTAGGGAGGCGGAGGTTGCAGTGAGTCGAGATCGTGCCACTGCACTCCAGCCTGGGCAACAAGAGCGAGACTCCACCTCAAAAAAAAAAAAAAAAAAAAAGTAGCCTGTTGTAACCACCTCAGCTGTGGTAAATAATGCTGAGGTAGACTTCTTTAAGTGTTTCACTTTTTCCTGATTCTGGGATTTTTCTTCGACTTGATCCTTAGAGGTGCAACAGATTCATGGAGACGGTCCCTTCTCCTGGGGATGGGGCGGGGATCTGTGCTCTGCGGGGCCTGCTGCAGGGCTTTCTGACCCATGCTTTCCTGTTGCTAGGGTAAGCCTTGGGTCTTGGGGAGGGGCATCATCAACCTCAGGATCTCAGTCTTGCCTTCCTGCCCACCCCAGCCCCAAACAAGTGTGAACTGAACTGCATTCCCAAGGGGGAGAACTTCTACTACAAGCACAGGGAGGCTGTGGTTGATGGGACGCCCTGCGAGCCTGGCAAGAGGGATGTCTGTGTGGATGGCAGCTGCCGGGTGAGTGGTGCCCCAGCCCCTCCCTGCCTCCGGGCTGCCTGGGGGCTCAGTGCGGGTGTTTCCCTGTCCATCACCCATAGGCCCAGGTAGCTGCCATGAGCTTGGTGTCTTCTCAAGTTACCAGGACACCAAGCCCAGCTCCTAGGGTACCTTGCAGGCATCACAGATGCCCTATGGCCCCTCACCTTCATCCTTGGAGAACGCTAGCCCTACAATAAGAGAAACCCTCTGGGTGGCAGAAATCCGGCTAAAACCGACTTCAGAAAAACAAACAGCAGGGACAGCCGCAGGCGCATGAATGAGGTGCCACTCGGCTTTCCTCTCCTTGGGTCCAGCATCAGGATCTGGCCCATTCTTCCCAGGAGGTGTGGAGGTGGCCGCCAGCTGCTCCGACCTTCTGCTCCCTAGAAAGGGAATTCCCAGGGAAAGGGGGCCTCATTCCCAGGAGTTCTAGCCACCGGGGGTTGTCTCTGATTCGTCTTGGTTTGGGACTTACCCTGAACCACTCCAACCTCCCCAAACCCACATTTGGGGAGCTCCGTTCAAACTCTGCGGGAGAGAGGTGGCCCCTCAAGGAAAACAGGGCATTATTACCAGAAGGGGAGATGGGAGCTGAGCAGACAGAGAAGTGGATTGTCAGCCACAGGCCAGTCCCCTGGCTGGTGGCTGAATCACTCCCGACCACCCTATCCTGCCTGGGCTGCGTGGGTGCTGGGGTTAGGATGCGACGGGGCCCAAGGCCTGATGTGGCCATGATGCCGTCTCCCCTGCCTCCCGCATCTCTGCCCACAGGTTGTCGGCTGTGATCACGAGCTGGACTCGTCCAAGCAGGAGGACAAGTGTCTGCGGTGTGGGGGTGACGGCACGACCTGCTACCCCGTCGCAGGCACCTTTGACGCTAATGACCTCAGCCGAGGTGGGGGTGGTTCCGACAAGGGGCAGTTGCCTGCCCCCTTCCTTGCCTGTCCCTTCCTTGCCTGTCCCTGCTCTGGCCTAGACTCCAGGCCAAGTGGCCCTCATGGCACTGGAAGGCTCTGATCATATCAGGTCACATCTGAAAGGCCCCCTGTGGCCTTTGGTTAGGACTCGTGCCCGCTCGTGCAGTCCCATCTCCTGCTGCCACCGCCTGGATGCCCTCCCCATCCCTTCCCACTCCCAGTGTGCTCCGGGTGCCCTGAGCCTTCCCGCCACCCTGGCTTTTGTACTGCGGCCTCTTCTGCCAGGGTTGCCTTTCCCAGCAGCTCGGCCCTGTCTGGCTCTTGTGTACCCTCCCTGCCCCCATTCTGTGCTGTGTGGCACTTGGAGTCCTGTTTGAGTGGTGCCGGGAGAGGGATAGCCCAGCACACCCAGCACCTGCGTCTCTGCCCCCAGGCTACAACCAGATCCTCATAGTTCCCATGGGTGCCACCAGCATCCTCATCGACGAGGCTGCTGCCAGCAGGAACTTCCTGGGTGAGAGCCTAGGGTTAGGTCCTAGGCAGGTCTGGGGCTGCAGGGGGAGGTGCGGCACTGCTCCCTCTGGCTGACTGAGGCGGTCTCCTCTGCGCAGCTGTGAAGAATGTTCGTGGGGAATACTACCTCAATGGGCACTGGACCATCGAGGCGGCCCGGGCCCTGCCAGCAGCCAGCACCATCCTGCATTACGAGCGGGGTGCTGAGGGGGACCTGGCCCCTGAGCGACTCCATGCCCGGGGCCCCACCTCGGAGCCCCTGGTCATCGAGGTAAATGGGGGTGTGGGGAGAGAGGGCGAGTGGGCAGCTCGTGGTCCCCAAGAGGCTGCCAAGCTCTGTACATGGGGGGTTGAGTGGCTCTGGGCTTGAGGCTGGCAGGGGGCTGTGAGGCTGCGGAGGGTGTGGGAGTGCTCCCCAGCAGCAGACCCCAACAAGGACTCTCCCGTGACAGCTCATCAGCCAGGAGCCCAACCCCGGTGTGCACTATGAGTACCACCTGCCCCTGCGCCGCCCCAGCCCCGGCTTCAGCTGGAGCCACGGCTCATGGAGTGACTGCAGCGCGGAGTGTGGCGGAGGTGCGGGCGTGGATGGCCCAGGGGAGGGCATGGGCCCTGTGTGCTGGATCCCACGGCCACAGGTGGGCAAGTCACAGCCCTCTCCTCAAGGCAGTCCCTCCTGGGGAGATGGACAAGTAGGCGAGAAATCTCTGTGTTATGGGGGTCGCTTTGAGGAAAACCCAGGGATCTGGGGGACTCCATGAAGGACCCCAGCCTAAGCGAATAGAACCAGAGGGGGCTTCCCAGAGTCAGCGGCATCTCATAGGAGACAGACTCCCTCAGGACCGGAGCTGGGCCTGGGGTCAGTGATCAGGTGCCAGAGTAGGGCTCTCTCACAGCAAAAACCCTCAGAGCCTCAGTTTCCTCATCTGCCAATTGGAGATGTGGTGGCACCTGCCTCGGGGGGGTCATCTAAGACTGAATGGGGATGACCTGTGGGGTGAGTGCAGGATGGCGCCTGGCCCAGGGAACGCGCTTGGTGAATGTTGACTGGCGTCTGCCCGCCATGGCTGGGCCTCTGCGCAGGTCACCAGTCCCGCCTGGTGTTCTGCACCATCGACCATGAGGCCTACCCCGACCACATGTGCCAGCGCCAGCCACGGCCAGCTGACCGGCGTTCCTGCAATCTTCACCCTTGCCCGGAGACCAAGCGGTGAGACCTTGCCAGCCCCTCTACCCATGATGAGGCCCAAGAACTTGGGTGGGAAGGGAACAAGGCCTCCAAGCTGCTTTAGGTGTAGAACAAAGAGGTGGGGGTCCAGGGCCCCCCACGCTGTGGCTGGGGTGTGGGAGAGGTGGCAGCTCTTCCTGGGGGAGGCAGAGAATAGGCCTGAGCCCGGGGCTGGTCTCTCTGCTCTCCTGTGACCACGAAGTACTCAGAACACCTAGGCTTGGTGGCAGGAGGGTTGGAGAAGGTTCCAGAGGTCCCTGTCTGTCTGAGCCAGCAGAGGGTTTGGCTTGGCAGATGCCAAGGGGTGGGCCAGGGGTCAGGCCAAAGGGCCTGTTGGCATCGGCCATGGCTTTGTTCGTGCACAAAGGACCTCTTACCTGCACCGGCCTGGAGCGTGGCGCCTTGCTGGGGCCCAGCGAGTGTGTGGGAACAGGTAACCTGCAGGTCACAGGCTCCCCGCAGGGCTGGTGCCACCCTGTCACCGCTTGGCCTTGGTGGCAGCGGGCCTCCTGGGATGGTGGCGGACTTGGCTTTGCATGGGGCCACAGGGCTGCTCTTTCCTCTGGGTCCTTGCACCCGGGGCCTGGCAGAGCCGCTCCACGCATGGGTGAGCACAGCCTCTCCAGGAGCTGCCCCTTGACTAAGGTCAGACCGAGAGGAATGGAGTCTGACTGGGAGACAGGGACCTGGTGGGAAGGAGAAAGGGGGATAGGGTTGAGGACAGGAAAGCCAAGGGGGAGGCGCAGGGCCCCGAGTTGTGGGGAGCGCTCAGAGAGCCAGGCCCGGTGGTGGGGATGCTAAGGAGCGCCTGGGTCGTAGCCTTTGTTCAGGCTGGAGGCTCAGAGGATGGGCTGGGGTGGGGGTCCTCAGGCCACCTGTGTGAGTGAGGGCAGAAACCCTCAGGGCTGGGTTTCTGCCCATGCTCCTGGGCCAGCCTTACCTGATTCCCCCTCCTGCCAGCTGGAAGGCAGGGCCATGGGCACCCTGCTCAGCCTCCTGTGGAGGAGGCTCCCAGTCCCGCTCCGTGTACTGCATCTCGTCTGACGGGGCCGGCATCCAGGAGGCCGTGGAGGAGGCTGAGTGTGCCGGGCTGCCTGGGAAGCCCCCTGCCATTCAGGCCTGTAACCTGCAGCGCTGTGCAGCCTGGAGCCCGGAGCCCTGGGGAGAGGTCAGGCCCCTGGCCCGCATGGGGCTGGTGCTGGACCTGGGTAGCAGCAGGGAAGGGCTGGGGTCTTGTTCTCTGCTGTGGAAACCGAGGTCCTGGGAGGTAAAATAACCGGTCAGGTCATCTTGGAAGCTGTGGCCAAGGCTGGGACCAGAAGCAAGTGTCTGGATGAGTGGTCCAGGGCTCTTCCTTTTTCTCCAGGATCCCAGGGCAGGGCAGGAAAGGCCTGGGCAGGAAGAAGCTGGTGTGTTGTTTGGGGGCAAGGGAGGAGCTGGAAGTGTCTAGGCTGCCAGTCATTGCTTCTAGCACCTACGTATATTCAAGTTGCAAATGGATGGAAAATACAAATGGGTGACAACCTCAGTCTGTTGTCAGTAGCCATGGTTCAGGCTGTGTGACCTCAGGGGAGTGAGTCAGCCTCTCTGGGCCTGGGAAGGACATGGGCAGTTGGGTGCTATCTGCCTCCACACCAGGCTGGTGGGCCGCTAGCTGTCCGAACTGGCGTGGCTCCTGGGGGCAAGGCCGAGCTTCTGCTGACAGCCTTGTCCTTGCAGTGTTCTGTCAGTTGTGGCGTTGGCGTCCGGAAGCGGAGCGTTACTTGCCGGGGTGAAAGGGGTTCTTTGCTCCATACCGCAGCGTGCTCCTTGGAAGACCGGCCACCTCTGACTGAGCCCTGTGTGCATGAGGACTGCCCCCTCCTCAGTGACCAGGCCTGGCATGTTGGCACCTGGGGTCTAGTGAGTGCTCTCCACCCCCACACCTGCTGCCTGACCCTGGTCTCTGGCAGGTGGCTGCACCCGAGCGCCGTCCTTGGACCTGACACGCGCCACTGGGCACCTTCCCCTGCCTCTCTCCATGTGGGTCCCCGCCCCCAGCCTCGCCCTCAGCATCTCTCTCTCTCCCACTCGTGGGCCTCAGTGCTCCAAGAGCTGCAGCTCGGGCACTCGGAGGCGACAGGTCATCTGTGCCATTGGGCCGCCCAGCCACTGCGGGAGCCTGCAGCACTCCAAGCCTGTGGATGTGGAGCCTTGTAACACGCAGCCCTGTCATCTCCCCCAGGGTAAGGACAGGAGGGCAGGGAGGAGTCCGGCCTCTGACCTCTCTCCCACTCGCTACAAACCCAGCAAGCATGTCCTGCCTCGGGGCCTCTGCCTGCACTGTGTCATCCCTCTGGACCCCACTTCTCCCATGTCTCCCCCCGCTGAACCCTTTGCCATCTCTAAGGCCCACCTGGTGTGCAGCCCACCAGGCAGCCCTGCTTTCCTCCACTCAGCGGTAGCATGCCCCTGCCCCTCTGGCCCCCATAGCATGCTGTCATTTCTGTGGGACCCTTAGATTCATTTCCTTGTGCTGCTGTGGTTGTATACGGCTTGTCAGACCTACCCACTATAAGCTTCTTGAGGACTGGGTCCCCAACTTCCATATTCCTCTTTATACCCCCATAGAACTTACCTGACACAGTTAGGTACTCAGTGAATGTCTGTTGAATGACTGAGTGACTGACTGTGTGCTGAGGGAAGGAGGCAGTCCAGGAAGGAGTGTCTCCACATGCCACTTCTGCCTCTGTCTTCTTCCCTTCATCCCCATCCCACTGTGAAAGGAGCCTCACAAGCATGAGGGCCTGCTGGAGAAAGGGCACTGAGGCCAGTGTTTGCGTGGTGTGAGGATGCCACATTGAGGAAGGGTGTGGGTTGTGGTGAGCTGGGGATGGGGGTGGGTGGGTAGCCTCCCAATACTGCAGGGAGGCATGTTTGGCCTTGACTCACTCGTGATGGGGACTCTATGAGCTGTAGGGACCTTGAGATGAAGGAAGGCAGAATTTCTATGAGACATGTGACAGGTGTGGCTAAGAACCAGTGGCCTCAGAGTCAACAGCAGGCTTGGGTTCCGATCCACTCCGTTGCTGACCAGTTGTGTGGCCTTGGGCAAGTGCCCCACCTCTCTGATTCTCAGTTTGCCCATCTGCACAGTGGGGTTAAAAAGAGCGACTTTCCAGACCGTGGTGGTCATGCAGCACAACGCCTGACCGCATGGGGTGCTTGCTAGCTAAGCAGAGGGTGGAAGGGGTGGTGGTGAGGCCTTGTGGGGGAGCTCGGCCATCCGGAGGGCCCCTGGTGCCTCAGCTGGGGCCTGGTCCTTGGGGCTCACCAGCAGGAGAGCCTTGGACTCCCAGGGGTCCAGCTCTCCATGGAGCCAGTCTGTTCCCCAGGGCCTTGTTGGCTTCTAAAAGAGGTGATCTTAAGCCTGTCCCAGGGACTAGCAGGACCCATATAGAAAGGAAGAAAAAGGGCCAGGTGAGGATTAATCCCAGTCTGTAATCCCAGCACTTTGGGAGGCTGAGGTGGGAGGACCACTTGAAACCAGGAGTTCGAGACCCGCCTGGCCAACATTGTGAAATCCCGTCTCTACTAAAAATACAAAAAATTAGCTGGGCGTTGTGGCAGGTGCCTGTAATCCCAGTTACTTGGGAGGCTGAGGCAGGAGAATTGCTTGAACCTGGCAGGCCGAGGTTGCAGTGAGCCGAGATCACGCCATTGAACTCCAACCTGAGCAACAAGAGTGAGACTCTGTCTCAAAAAAAAAAAAAAAAAAAGAAATAGATTTTACCACATATCTGTTGGAGTCTTCCAACCCCAAATTATTGTTTTAAATATCCCTGGGGGCTGGATGCAACTGCTCATGCCTGTAATCCCAGCACTTTGGGAGGCAGATCACTTGAGCTCAGGAGTTCAGGACCAACATGGCAAAACCCCTTCTCTACTAAAAATACAAATATTAGCTGGGTGCAGTGGCCTGTGCCTGTAATCCCAGCTACTCAGGAGGCTGAGACAGGAGAATCACTTGAACCTGGGAGGTGGAGGTTGCAGTGAGCTGAGATCGCAACCCTGTAACTCCAGCCTGGGTGACAGAGCAAGATTCTATCTCAAAAATAAAAAGATTAAAAAAAAAAATAATAAAATAAGTAAATATTTCTAGGGATTGGCAAGATGTAGTCCATGTGGGAATGGAATATTAATTTACTTTATTATTATTTTGAGACAGGGTCTCTGTTGCCCAGGCTGCAGTGCAATGGTACAATTATAGATCACTGCAGCCTCCACGTTCTGGGCTCAAGGGCTCCTCCCACATCAGCCTCCTGTGTAGCTGAGATCACAGGTGCAGGCCACCATGCCCAGCTAATTTTTTGATTTTTTGTTGAGATGGGCTCTTGTTATGTTGTCCAGGCCGGTCTTCATCTCCTGGGCTCAGGCAATCCTCTCACCTTAGCCTCTCAAAGTGCTGGGATTACAGGTGTGAGCCACTGTGCCTGGCCCACTTATTTTATTCTTTATAACTTTCTTCCATTATATAGTAATATGCTTATTTTGGAAAATTTGAAGCACGCAAATAGAAGGGAAGGGCACCCTGCCTCCCAAGCACTCAGAGCAACTTTCACTATGGGCATTATTTCAGGGGGGGTCCTACAGGTTTTCTCTTATGTAGCATTAAAAAAAAATTCTTATTGTCCTAATTTTATCTACTTATCCATTTGCATTTTCCAACAATATTTTGTGACGAAAAATCTTTTTGAAAATTTTAGGGATGTTGTTTAAATAATTCCATATACCCTAAAAACCACCCATTCTAATGGCACAATGATTTTTTGTAAATTTACAAGTTGAACAATATGATAGAAACTTTAAACATGCCAAAAAGTTGAAAGAAATGCATAGTGAGCAGCCATGTACACACTATCTCAATCCCACAACTAGTATTTGGCTATATTTGTGTTTTCATTATCTAGTCTCTTTCTTCTTTTTTTTTTTTTTTTTTTTTTTTTTTTGAGACCTAGTCTCGCTCTGTCGCCCAGTTTGGAGTGCAGTGGCGCGATCTCGGCTCACTGCAACCTCTGCCTCCCAGGTTCAAGCGATTCTCCTGCCTTAGCGTCCTGAGTAGCTGGGATTACAGGTGTGTGCTACTGCGCCCAGCTAATTTTTGTATTTTCAGTAGAGATGGGGTTTCACCATGTTGGCCAGGCTGGTCTCGAAACTCCTGACCTCAAGTGATCCTCCTGCCTCGGCCTCCCAAAGTGCTGGGATTGCGGGCGGGAGCCCGTGCTTCGCTCATTATCTAGTGTCTTTCTATCCCTTTGTCTATTCATCCAATTTTTTTAAATATGGAATTTTTTTATGGAGGTGAAATTTACATTCAGTTAACCCTTTTAAAGTGTACAGGTTGGTGGTATTTAGCGCATTATTTCAATCTCTTTGATTATAGACATCCTAGTGGGTGGGAAGCAGGACCTCATTGTGGTTTTGATTTGCATTTCCCTGATGACTAATGATGTTGAGTATCTTTTTACGTGTTTGTTGGCCATTTGCATATCATCTTTGGAGAAATGCGTAAGTTCTTTACCCACTTTTTAATTGGATTGTTTGCCTTTCATCAGTCCAATTTTTTAAAAAAGTATGTTCTGTTTTTTGTTTTATGTGGCTGGGATCATAACACGTGCACATTTTATAGCTGGTACTTTTTGCTGAACATGTAAGATTAGCATTTTTCATGCTAGGTGCAGTGGCTCACACCCATAATCCCAGCATTTTGGGAGGCTGAGTCAGGAGGATCACTTGAGCCCAGGAGTTTGAGACAAGCCTGGGCAATATAGAAAGACCCTATCTCTAAAAAAAAAAAAAAAAAAAAGTAGTCCCAGCTACTCAGGGGGCTGAAGTGGGAGGATCACTTGAACCCAGGAGGTTGAGGCTTTAGTGAGCCATGATCACCCTACTGCATCTCAGCCTGGGCGACAGAGACCCTGTCTCAAAAAAGATGAGCATTTTCTGTGTGACTGGAGACTTTTGAAGAGTGGCTGGGCATTTTTTGAAATCCTGGGTCATGCTCCTTTTCCCTTGGGCTGTCTCGGGTTCCCAGGCCCTGCCTGGGCAGTGGGGTAGAAGCCAGTGCTGGGCAGGGCTGGCCACAGCTCAGGTCCATCCTCTCTTCCTCCCTCTCCGTCCCACATGGACCTCCCGGCTCCCTGCAGAGGTCCCCAGCATGCAGGATGTGCACACCCCTGCCAGCAACCCCTGGATGCCGTTGGGCCCTCAGGAGTCCCCTGCCTCAGGTGAGAGCCTGGTCCCGTCCCCCACTCAGAGCCCTGTAGTTTTTGTGTCTGAGTGGATGGTACATGGGGGTGTGGGGGTCACAGTTGGGTGCAGCCATGGTGGAAGGGAGAATGGTCCAGGGGACGGAGGAAGGTGGGTCCAACGTGGACAGGGGTGGAGGGGAGGAGCCAGGTGGACGCACTGTGTGTCTTTTGCTTCTTCTTTCTAGACTCCAGAGGCCAGTGGTGGGCAGCCCAGGAACACCCCTCAGCCAGGGGTGACCACAGGGGAGAACGAGGTGACCCCAGGGGCGACCAAGGCACCCACCTGTCAGCCCTGGGCCCCGCTCCCTCTCTGCAGCAGCCCCCATACCAGCAACCCCTGCGGTCGGGCTCAGGGCCCCACGACTGCAGACACAGTCCTCACGGGTGCTGCCCCGATGGCCACACGGCATCTCTCGGGCCTCAGTGGCAAGGCTGCCCTGGGGCCCCCTGTCAGCAGAGCAGGTGGGTGCTGGAGACAGGTCTTCCTCCTCCCCCGTCAAAGAGGGAAGGTGGGACCCCGTGGGTGGGCCAACATCTCTGATCAGAAGAGGGCTGGGGTGGGTGTGCAGAGCTCAGGAATAGGATGCCCAAGCTTTCCTCCCTGGGCTGCCCTGAGCATGAGATCTTGGGGACTTGGCTTCCTGTGGCTGAGTTTCTTGATGTGCCAAGTGGGGACACAAACCCCCACCTTACTGCAGAGTGTCAGCGTGTGGAAACACAGCCTGAGACTCCGAGAAGGCTCTGGGTGCGATTCTAGCTCTCAGATCTAACCAGGCTCAGGGAACTCACGGTAAAGGCTAGACGAGGGCCAACCAACTCCTCACAATCTTCCTAACAGCCCCGGCCACTCCCGCCTTATGGAATGGGTCCGAGTCATCCCACTCCTGCCAGGTGCCCTCCCTCTGCCCCTCCTCCTTCTATGGCCTGCCCTGAACGCATCCCCAGTGTGCTGTCTCAGAGACCAGGTGCTTCTGGGCCCAGACTTTGTGGCCAGTAGCCTGGGGGCAGTTCCCAGCTCAGACACTCACCGGCTATGTGCTGGGTGACTTGGGCCACGTGACTTAACCTCTCTGATTTTGGGTTCCTCTTCTGAGAAATGGGAATGATGACAATCGTGATGGGGTTCCTGTGAGGGTGAAGTGCATCACAGCATGCCTGGCACAGAGAGGGCGCCGGGCACCCTCCCTCCTTTCACCTTGCCTCGTGGCACCTGGTGGGTGGGTGTGGAGTAAATGGTGGGTTCCTTTGAACCCCCTCTTCTGCCCTGTCTCCCATCTGCTGCTGTTTTGTAACCCCCGCTGTGAACTGACATTTGGTCAGGCTCAGATGAACATCCCCCTTCTTTGTTTTGTGGGCTGTGCAACTGAGGCTCTGCCAGTTATGAGGGGTACAGCCACCATTTATTGTGTTACGGCTGCCCTCCCTGGTAGCTGCTAAGAGTCGGTGGATTTAGGCAGAGATTGCGGCACACAAAATGGCCTGCCCTGCACACGGGGACACGTCCTCTCCCCCCCAGGTCCCCACCCTGTCAGCCCCCACCATGGGGAGCCTCAGAGCCTGGGTCCTGGGATGCAGGGAGCGTGGGGGCAGGCTGGGCAGTGAGGGGCTGTGTGATGTCTGCCTAGGTACGGGTGCTGCCCTGACAGGGTATCTGTCGCTGAGGGGCCCCATCACGCTGGCTGCACAAAGTCGTATGGTGGTGACAGCACCGGGGGCATGCCCAGGTCAAGGGCAGTGGCTTCTACAGTAAGTGTCTGGCCTGGGGGAGGGGAGCAGGGGGCCAGCCCGTGAGCCTGCTCAGTGTCACTGTGACCCAGGATCTTTGCCGCTTTGGCCTCGGAGAAAGGAGGTCCCTGCAAATCTGCTGGCCTGGGTCATCCTCTGGAGGGCACCGGGCTTCAAAGATGGGCCTGGGGTGGATCAGGGGTTTCATCCAACATTCTCCTGGCCTCTGGTCTCCCCTGGGCTGGGGTTCTGGCCCCTCCTTCCTGCCATCCTCCCCGTGGCAGCCCAGAGTCCCCAACAATGGCCAGATCCACTGCCCACTTCCCAATCATGGGTTTCCTCCCCAGGTCCACAACACCCACCAGCCCCAGGCCCAGCAGAATGAGCCCAGTGAGTGCCGGGGCTCCCAGTTTGGCTGTTGCTATGACAACGTGGCCACTGCAGCCGGTCCTCTTGGGGAAGGCTGTGTGGGCCAGCCCAGCCATGGTGAGTGGACACCCCCTCTCCTCCTTCTCGATGGGTAGACTCTGCTCCCACCATGCCTCCAGCCCCCACCCAGGACCAAAGACCTTCCTACCAGCTCAGTTATTCATTCATTCCTACCACAAATGTTGATTGCCTGCTAGGTGCCAGGCCAGAGAGCAGTGCCAGAGTGTTCTCGCATCCAGCAGTTTGAACCTGTGGCCTTCTGGCTGCTTCTGGGAACTGGGGAGGGTGGGAGGTGGGGATCCCAAGGGCCTGGGAGGCAGTCTCGTGCTTGGGAGTCAGCCCCTTCTGAGGCAGAGCCAGTGCAGGGCAGTTAGTGCCGGGATGGGCAGGGGTGCCCTGACCCTGCCTGGAATGTGGGTGGAGTAGCAGGAGCTGAGTGCTGGAGGGAGGGTAGGGGTCAGGGAGGTCTTTGAGGTTGCAGCCCTGGATGAATGAGTAGAGCTGCTGGGAACCATCACGAGGACCTCAAAAGCCGGGCTAGGGCTGTGGTCAGGGCTCGCAGGAGGCACCCATGGTCATGTCTAAATGTGGAGAGATGGGTCAGGCCATGCTGGCGAGGGCTGCTGGAATGGCAGGCTGGGTGCTGGAGGTGGGCTCAGTGGCCAGTCAGTGCAGCATCCTGGGGACAAGGGCATGCCCTTGCTGGGCATCTTCACACGCCCTGGGTGGCTCAGGTCTGTGTCCCTATCACAAGCTAAGCAGGCAGGGTCACCCTCTGGGCTCACTTTGCATGTGACTTCAGGTGGTCTGGTGGCAGGGAAGGCCAAAGGTCCAAGGGAGCCGGCCCAGGGAGCCCTGGCCCTGACCTCCCAGAGGCTCTAGCTCTGTGGGTGAAGGCTGCTGTGGCACCAGCCGGGGGCAGGTCTGCACAGTGGACAGACTCTGGTGGAAGCATCCTGGATCCCAGGGCCAGGTCAGGCCCCCAGACAGGGGTGTAGACATGCTTTATAAGTGGGGAAGGGCCTGCTTCCTGAGTCGGAGGCTGAGAGGATGGAGGGTGCAGCTTTAGTACTGGGCACCTCAGTGACTTATATCACACCCATGCCCTGCAGCCTACCCCGTGCGGTGCCTGCTGCCCAGTGCCCATGGCTCTTGCGCAGACTGGGCTGCCCGCTGGTACTTCGTTGCCTCTGTGGGCCAATGTAACCGCTTCTGGTATGGCGGCTGCCATGGCAATGCCAATAACTTTGCCTCGGAGCAAGAGTGCATGAGCAGCTGCCAGGGATCTCTCCATGGGCCCCGTCGTCCCCAGCCTGGGGCTTCTGGAAGGAGCACCCACACGGATGGTGGCGGCAGCAGTCCTGCAGGCGAGCAGGAACCCAGCCAGCACAGGACAGGGGCCGCGGTGCAGAGAAAGCCCTGGCCTTCTGGTGGTCTCTGGCGGCAAGACCAACAGCCTGGGCCAGGGGAGGCCCCCCACACCCAGGCCTTTGGAGAATGGCCATGGGGGCAGGAGCTTGGGTCCAGGGCCCCTGGACTGGGTGGAGATGCCGGATCACCAGCGCCACCCTTCCACAGCTCCTCCTACAGGTGAGGCCCACCTTCCCCAGGTGAGGGGGTTAGGACGCCCAGACAAGGAGCATGCCAGTTGGAGCTAAACCCCTGAAGTCAGCCGGCCCTCCCTCCCCATCCCTAACTTCTGTTTCTCCCGAGAGCCCTGCCTGGTGGGCCTTGTTGCCATCATTCTACAGATGGAGAAGCTGGGGCTTCAGAGACTTGAGGCTACTCTGATGTCTAATAGACATCTGTGCAGATGGTGGCTCCGGGGTTCTCCATCAGATCTCGCCAGTATACCCCGGGGCCTGTCTGGCTGGAAAAGTTTATTGGCTTCGTGACCTTTGGCAAGTCACCCAACTTCTCCAAGCCTCAGTTTCTTGACCTGTAAAATGGTGGCATTACCTTCTGCCCTGTATACCTCACAGGTGTGGGTTCTGGTCAAGATGACTCCTGGGACTGGATCATATTAATGAAGGATTTGGGAAGGTTAAAAACAAAATTAAAAGCGTTGTGTTCCACATGGGTCGAGCGTGTAGTTTAGCCCCCACATGAACCTGGTGTGTGCCGTCCCTCCCGACCTCTCCCCACCCCTTGGGCTTTGCACCTACCTTGTTGCTGCTACAAGAACAGGTTGAGGCAGTGATGCTTGGGGGAGCCGGGGGCAGGTTGGGGAGGGTAGATTCCTGAATCCATGGGCTTCTGGGGCTCTGCCTCCCATAGGGACCCTCTAGCCCCAAAAGTGCCTGTGACAGGATGGGCCCCAAGCTGTCTGTCATGGAACACACTGCTTAGGGTGGTTCTGGTCCTGGCGCTCATGCCAGTCAGCAGATCTCACTTCCCACCTCTCCAGGATTAGCTTGGCAGGTGTGGAGCCCTCGTTGGTGCAGGCAGCCCTGGGGCAGTTGGTGCGGCTCTCCTGCTCAGACGACACTGCCCCGGAATCCCAGGCTGCCTGGCAGAAAGATGGCCAGCCCATCTCCTCTGACAGGTGGGTGAGAGTCCCCCCACCTCCTCTGACAGGTGTGACAGCCCCCCTACCTTCCCTGACAGGTGTGTGTGACAGCTCCCCCACCTCCTCTGATAGGTGTGACAGACCCCCTCCTCCTTTGACAGGTGTGTGTGACAGCCCCCCTACCCCCTCTGACAGGTGTGTGTGACGGCCCCCCGACCTCCTCTGACAGGTGTGTGTGACAGCCCCCCGACCTCCTCTGACAGGTTCACGTGACAGCTCCCTCCACCTCCGCTGACAGGTGTGTGTGACAGCCTCCCCTGAAGCATATTCCCCCAGCCTCACTTGGGGTGGGAGGGTGCTCTGTAGACTCTGGTCCCCTCTGGCACGAGCACCGAGGCGGAGGGAAGACTCACTGTTGCCCTTGGGAGCCCAGAGCTCATGTCCTCCCACACCACCCCACTCAGGCACAGGCTGCAGTTCGACGGATCCCTGATCATCCACCCCCTGCAGGCAGAGGACGCGGGCACCTACAGCTGTGGCAGCACCCGGCCAGGCCGCGACTCCCAGAAGATCCAACTTCGCATCATAGGTCTCTGTCCCCACCCCATCCACCAGTGCGTTCTCAGGGGCCCGAGTGGGAAGGCCAGGATGGGGAGCCTGACCGAGGGCTGCCTCACGCTAGAGGGGCCCAGGGTGTCTCTCTGAGTCAATTCCTCCTGCTGGCAGGGACCACCCTGTGGCCCTCATTTCTCCGTAAGTCCCTGCTGGTCTCATGGCCCGCCCTTCCTTCCACTCCCTTTTCCTCACAGCTCACACCTTGTTTCTCCTGGCCTCATGACAGGGGGTGACATGGCCGTGCTGTCTGAGGCTGAGCTGAGCCGCTTCCCTCAGCCCAGGGACCCAGCTCAGGACTTTGGCCAAGCGGGGGCTGCTGGGCCCCTGGGGGCCATCCCCTCTTCACACCCACAGCCTGCAAACAGGTAAGAACTCAGCAATGCCATCTTGCCCTCCCCCACGCCAGGGCCAGGGCCGGGGGTCTCAGTGGATAAGGAGGGGAACGTCTGCTGTGACCAGGCCTTGCCAGCCCCTGCTCAGGGCTCTGGGAGGCCAGGCCTAGAAAAACAGGGCTCCCAGAGCTGGGCCTCTTGAGGAAGAAGCTTCTGGGAACGGTGCAGTTCTACAGGCTCAGGACTCAGGAACTGAGGAAGGGAAGGGCACACACAGCTAGAGGGCCTGAGCCGGCTTCTTTGAGGAGCGTCTTGAGCTGGCCTTGAGGAATGGTTCAGTTTACAGAGGGGGTGTGGAGGACCGGAGGGGGTGCCCAACTCAAAGACCTAGTGGCAAATGTGCAGGGTGGGGGGTGACAGATGGGGATCCTGGCTGGTGGGTGTGTCTGGCCAGCTGTGGTGGAGGGGCAGGGAGTGGTAGTGGCGGGGAGGCAGCTTTAGACTTCACCCCAGGTAGTTATTGACCATTTCCTAACCAGAACAAGGCAGGGGATTTTAGGAAGCTGAATCTGGCTGGAGAGGGAGAAGGGGCCACCAGGCTTGTGCAGAGGTGCCCATGGGAGTAGGCGGGGGCAACGGCAAGGGCCCCTCATGCTGTGGGCTGCTTGTTTGGCAGGCTGCGTTTGGACCAGAACCAGCCCCGGGTGGTGGATGCCAGTCCAGGCCAGCGGATCCGGATGACCTGCCGTGCCGAAGGCTTCCCGCCCCCAGCCATCGAGTGGCAGAGAGATGGGCAGCCTGTCTCTTCTCCCAGGTTTATTTGACTCCTCTCCCCTTCCTCCTATTCTGCCTCCAGCCCCACCTTATCCTATGGAGGCCACCGGGGAAGGGAGCTGCTAGCGCATGGTCATGGCCAGTCCTGAGCCGGACTCCAGGGCCTCTTGAGAGATGGAGCAGCTGGGCAAAGGGCTCCTTGGGTTGGCTAACATTTGAGTCTCTGGGCCTTTCCAGAATGTGGTTAGTGGACAGAAATAAGAGGCCAGCTAACAGAGGTGATGACGGAAGAAGAAAATGGAGTCAGAACACATTCCCAGCTATAACCATAATGGCTACCCTTTACTGAGCAGGCACTGAGTATGAGGCTTGTGCTCTATCACGTGACCTGCAAAAAAGCCATATTGAGCAGGTGCTGTTTTCCCCCCATTTTACACACAGAAGCTTAACATCACACAGCTTATAAGCAGCAGAACCAGTATTTGAGCCCATTAAATGAGTATAGCAAAAACTAGAAACCCAAACCGAAATTTTGTATCAGAAAACTTGAAATGGTTTATACAGTTAAGCTTAAAAGCCAGACATTTTCGGCCAGTCGCAGTGGCTCACGCCTGTAATCCCAGCACTATAGGAGGCCGAGACGGGGGTGGATCACGAGGTCAGGAGTTCAAGACCAGCCTGTCCAAGATGCTGAAACCCCATCTCTACTAAAAATACAAAAATAGCCAGGCGTGGTGGCACATGCCTGTAATCCCAGCTACTCGGGAGGCTGAGGGAGAATTGCTTGAACCTGGGTGGCAGAGGTTGCAGTGAGCTGAGATCGCACCACCGAAAGCGCCAGCAGCTGCAGGTGTAAAGTCTGAGGCCAAATGGTCCTTCTGTCAGACCCCACCAAACACTAGGGGATGCTTAGCCTCTCACCAGGGACCTAGAAGACCTTGTGTTCCCTCCCTGACCCCATGCTCGAGGGACGGAGCTGGAGGAGAGGGGAGGCTCCTTGGGCTGGAGCCAACTGGCTGTACTTGGTCCCCAGACACCAGCTGCAGCCTGATGGCTCCCTGGTCATTAGCCGAGTGGCTGTAGAAGATGGCGGCTTCTACACCTGTGTCGCTTTCAATGGGCAGGACCGAGACCAGCGATGGGTCCAGCTCAGAGTTCTGGGTAAAGTGGCAGTCCTGAGTGGCCTTTGAGGTCAGGTGGCATGGGTAGGGCAGGATCTTCATAGTGGCTGACAATGACTTGTCCTTGTGCCCAGGGGAGCTGACAATCTCAGGACTGCCCCCTACTGTGACAGTGCCAGAGGGTGATACGGCCAGGCTATTGTGTGTGGTAGCAGGAGAAAGTGTGAACATCAGGTGGTCCAGGTAAAGGCTCTATTCCAAGTTGTCCCTGTCCCCAGACCTTCACAACCTCAGGTGTGGGTGTCCACCTTTCTGCCAGGGATGTCACTGTCACCACTGCTTCCATTCCGGCTTCCAGGCCTGGTGCCAGGGGAGAGGGCTGCAGCACCCTCATCCCTACAGAGCAAAGCTCTGTAGGGCCACTGGCTCTCTGCTGGTTGGGCTACACTAAGGTTTCCTAACCTCAGCACTGCTGACAGTTTGGAGCTGGTAAGTTTTGGTTGCTGAGGGCTGTCCTGTGCTTTGCAGGATGTTTAGCAGCATCCAGGGCATCTACCCACTAGATGCCAGGGGCACCCTCCCCAAAGTCATGACAATAAAGAATGGCTCCAGACCCACTGCCAAATGTCCCCTGGTGGCAAAATCTCTCCTGGAGCTGTGAACCACTGGACTACACTCAGCTTTGGGGACTTTGGTGGTCTTTTACCCTAGATCAATTGGTTTTATATTTGTCCATTCATTTAGCAGCCATTTTTTGCCTCCTCCTTCCCTGTAATGTGTCAGGACTAGGCTAGGTTCTGGGGATCCTGGGGTCACCTGAGCCCCCAGAGTACTCCCGGGCAGATGGCCCAGTGTCCCAGGAGCTCCAGATGTGTTTTGTTGCAACTGCTGTCTGTGCACAGAGGAGTGTCAAGGAAGAGGGCCAGGAAATGACTTTGGCTGCACCTTAATAGCTAAGGATGGCAAAGGATGTTCTTGGTAGAGGAAGCAGCAAGTGCCAAAGGTGGGCATTTGAGAAAGGACACCAGGATAGGAACCGGCCTGTGCACTGGCTGGGAGAGGTGACGCGATTGCGGAGGGCATCTGTGTCTTGTGTGGCCTTGAGCCCAGGGAAGGCGGTGGGAGCCGCTAGAGGTGTCCCCACTGGTGTGCTCAGTCCAGCCATCCCCTGATCAGCCTGTCAGGCCTGCTTCTCCATGTTGGCCTCTCCTGGATCTTTCCAGCAGCAAACATGCATAGAACTCCCCTCTTCACAACCACCTTCCATTGAGCCTCTATGTCCCTGCAGACCCTATGCTGACATAGTGTCCCCTTTACAGCTGTCCATGTTGGTTGCCTCTGCCTGTTCATCTCCCTACTCACTTCTCAGGGCCTGCAGTGGGGCCGCATGTCAGCCCCTGTTCCAGGACACTGTCCTGGCCAAGGTCACTGCCTCTCTCCCTAACTCCACTGGACACCTTGCAGTCTTTACGTGACCTGTAGTGTCGTTCTGCTTGCCGTATGCTCCTTCTTGAAATTCTCCCTTCCCTCTGCTCCAGGAACTACTGTCTTCTGCTGTGCCTCAGGGCCTGTCCTTGGTTTCTCCCCGTGTGACTTGGACCACCTCATAGACATGCACTTCGCTGCGTCAGTGCGATGCTGACACACTATCTGGGTCTGGACTCTTGAGCTCCAGACTTCAAATCTGAGGCCTCCTGCTATCTCACAGGCACCCCAAATTTGAAATAGCAGAAAACAACCTCGCCATTCACCCCAGCCTTGGATCTCCCAAGGTTGGAGGGGCACCATCATCACCCAGTAACCCAACCTAGAAACCTTGGTCATTCTTGATTTCTCCCTGTCCTCCACCTGTTTGCTCTCAAGGGGTGGGAACGGTTGGCTCTGGAATGGCCTTTGATTACCTCTTCCCTCTGTCTCCCAGACCTCCAGAGGCCCTTGATGGCTCTCCCAGTGTCCTCTCTCCTCCAGGAACGGGCTACCTGTGCAGGCTGATGGCCACCGTGTCCACCAGTCCCCAGATGGCACGCTGCTCATTTACAACTTGCGGGCCAGGGATGAGGGCTCCTACACGTGCAGTGCCTACCAGGGGAGCCAGGCAGTCAGCCGCAGCACCGAGGTGAAGGTGGTCTCACCAGGTAGGAAAGGTCTATATCCGGGGATGGGAAGGACATTCCCCAGTAGATTTACTGGTTCTCAAGGGCTGGCTCTGCAGTCTGAGGGACTCTGGTTTGAATCCTGGCTCACCCTGCCAGTTGCTGGTAGTGTGACTTGGGGCAAGGGGCTTACCTTCCTGAGCCTCATTTTCCTCCCGTCTACAGTGGGGCTGCTCCACCACCTGAGAGGGCTGTAGTGGAGATGAAGGAAATGATGCTCTGCTGGGCCCCTGGAGATAGCTTAATAGACATTAATGCATGCAGGACATTCAGACTCACCGATTTTGAGACATATGACTGACTGGAATTTCATTATAAAACTTAAAACTTAAGGCAGACCACTAAAATCTGTCCACTCTAATCCACTCTAAACCACTAAAATCTGGCCACTTTATGGCCGTTTGACCATATAACCCAGAAAGGAAAGGGCAGGGATTATCATCACCATTTTACAAATGAGACAGGTATGCAGAGAGCGTAAGTGGTGTTTCCACCGGTCACACCGCAAATGTGGCCTACCTGGGACTAGAGCCCATGTCTTTTGACTCCCCATGTTTTTTTTTTTTTACCCCCACGAAATTACTATACTTGTACCTAAGTGGAATCTTACTTGCATCATTTGATATTTGATATTGTAGCCTTACCTCCTCTAGCTACTACTCTATCATACTTCAACAAATCCAAATTGCCTGTAAGATGCATTATTTTTGTACCAAGAAAAAAATGCTGCCAGTGAAACGACACAATTCTGATACCATCAATTAGGATGCAAACCAACTTGAGAGATGTGAAAATAAGTGCATATCAGAACTGATGAAACAGATTGTGGTTCAGAGTTCACACTTACAAGAGATATGTTCAAATAAGCAGGAGGGAAAGGGGGACAGGGCTTTGCTCGTCCCCCAGCCTGTGCTTCCTTGTGTCCTTGGTTCTTGTTCACGGAGGGACTGAAGACAGAGTGGTACCTCGGGCCAAGCTGCCAATTCTCACAGGCCTGATACAGACCTTGGGGGAGTATGCCAGGCTCGGAGGTGCCAGGGCCCTTCCTGCCTGGTCTTCTGGGCATTCCTGACAATCAGGGCTGCAGCGCCATGCCAGGAGCACGGTTACACTCAGAGGGGCAGGCCTGGCTGCTTCCTGGCTGCCAGGCTGAGGGTGGAGACTGGCCAGTACTAGAAGTTGAAGGTCTGGCTGAAATGTTGCTTTGTGAGTGGGACTGACTTGTCGGCTTCCTGTCTATGATCTCTTTAGAGATCGCCTCCCCAGGGCCCAGCTCAGTGCTTGGCATCACTAGGTGCTCATGTTGTGGCTGGAAATGTTGTCCAGCGGCTTTTTTCTCACCTGTTGCTCGGCGAGCGGGAGGGAGGGTTACAGGGTTCCTTCCTGCCGCTTCGCCAGCCCGCCGCCTTGACCTCTGTCCGGGGCCTCGCTCGGCCCACCGTCTCGCTCCGCCCACTTGGCCGGGCAGGCTGCGCTCCGCTGACCCGGATCCCGCACTCGTGGCGGCCCCGCGCTCAGCGCACGGCACAGGCGGCTTCCGCACTGGGTGCTAACGTATAGACAAGGGGAACATGGTGGCGCCCGAAAACTCGGAGATGCCAGCAACCGCGGAGCCCCAAGGGGGTGTTACAGGGACAAATGTTCCCGCCGCTCGCAGCTCGGTGAACGGGAGCGTTAAAACTCGTTCTTCCCTCCATTCCCTCCTGCTCACCCAGCTACAAAAGCCGCGACACTCAGATACATGGTGACTAAGTGCCTGCCTGCACAATGATGGAGTTACATTGGCGAAAGCACCACACTCCAGGGACTACTTTTCACCTGTATCATGTCCAGAAAATTGACCTTGTCTACATAATAACCAAATCAAGGCTGTGTGACAAAGCAAAATGCAGATTCACAGTGAGAGAACTGTCAAGAGGACCTAGACATTATGTTTGCGATTAGCTCCAGATGGGATTACATGGAAAACCAAACTACAATGAGAAACTTGCCTGATACCTGGTCACCACGCTGAAATGGCCTGAGATGTGTGTCCCAGATGGGACAGACATGGCCTCAGTCTGGCCACTCTCCTCCGGTCCTCTGCTGGCTGCTCTCACCTGTTCATTTTTTGTTGGGTCATACGGTGTGCGGCTGCCTGACCCTGCCCTACTCATGGTTGGGTGGCACATTGAATTTCAGTGTTAGCACCAGGGTAGGAGGCCTTGGGGTGGTCAGGCTGAGGTAAAAGGGACATAGCTCTACTGGGAGGACTTCTCAACATCGCTGTGAAGTAGGTTGCTGTTGCTGTTATTAGTCCCATTTCACAGATGAAGAAATGTGCATAAAGGGCTTAAGCAACTTGCCCAGAGTTACCCAGCTGGCAAGTGGCAGAGCCCGGATTGAGCCCGGGCAGTATGGGTCCAGAGCTGGTGTGCTTAATCACTATGCTGAGTTCCCACTATGATGGGTCTTGGGCTGTACCAGCTCAGAGTTGATACCAAAGTTACAGATTTTTAGAAACAATATGCATTAATGGCTTTGTTATCTATATAAATTTAGGTAGGTAATAGTCTGGTTATACCAATATACCAAACGTTTGTAAGGTTGTTCGCTGCTAGGTACAGTCTTTTAGTGGTATTTTGTGAGTAAACAAGGGGAGAGAGAAAGATAAGCTTTCTCTGGCTGCTTGAGGTCTGACTTCAGGGAAGGTACCACTCTGGTCTAAGTCAGCTGAGTTTTAAGAACCCCTTCCAGAAGAGAGATGAAGCAGTAGAATGAAATTTTTTTTTTTTTTTTAAGACAGAATCTTGCTCTGTCACCCAGGCTGGAGTGCAGTGGTGTGGTCTCAGCTCACTGTAACCTCTGCCTCCTGGGTTCAAGCGATTCTTCTGCCTCAGCTTCCCGAGTAGCTGGGACTACAGGGGCACGCCACCATGCCTGGCTAATTTTTGCATTTTTAGTAGAGATGGGGTTTCACCATATTGGCCAGGCTGGTCTCAAACTCCTGACCTCGTGATCCGCCCGCCTTGGCCTCCCAAAGTGCTGGGATTACAGGCATGAGCCACCACACCCAGCTGAATGAAACTTAATAGGGAGTTATGAGATACAGACGTTCCTAGTAAATTCAGAGGGAGAGAAAACAAGGGCTTTGCTTTGTTCTCAGTGTAGTTAGTATTAGAGCCACCGTTAACAGGACTGTTTTCCTATTACCTTGTCTAATATGCATTGCTTCCTCTGGGGAAAGTGAAAAACTGGAAGGATGAGGACCCAGGTGACTAAGATAAGCTGGTGATATTGAAGGGACAAAACTTTGATGGTTGGAGGAACCCAGCAGAGAAAGGGAAAAGATAAGAGCTCTTGCTAACTCAAAATTTTACTTGGGGCTGATCCTACCTGCTCTCCCAATCCAGAGGCAAGAACAGTTGTCATTTAGTAATTCAGGTCTCAAACATAAGGAGTTAACTTCAAGAGATGTTTAATTATCCAGTCAATAAATATTTGGGAGTCTAGGAAGAGCTATTCAGTGGGCTGAGGCCACAAATAATAATGGGAGGACCACTGCATGTTGAAGTGAGGCCAAGAAACAGGTAGAAATCATCATCCCTCATAGAGTTTGTACGTATGGTTAAAAGGTTACAGGGTAAGTGCACTTCGTTTTCAATCTGGCAGTTATAATGCTGTGTTCCTTTGAAGGAAATGAAATGGCAGGTGAGAATTTTCAGCATACACAGAGCTTCCTCACCACCTTCTCTCTCCCCTGTCGTTCTGCAGCACCCACCGCCCAGCCCAGGGACCCTGGCAGGGACTGCGTCGACCAGCCAGAGCTGGCCAACTGTGATTTGATCCTGCAGGCCCAGCTTTGTGGCAATGAGTATTACTCCAGCTTCTGCTGTGCCAGCTGTTCACGTTTCCAGCCTCACGCTCAGCCCATCTGGCAGTAGGGATGAAGGCTAGTTCCAGCCCCAGTCCAAAATAGTTCATAGGGCTAGGGAGAAAGGAAGATGGACTCTTGGCTTCCTCTCTCTGGCTGGCAAAGGGAGTTATCTTCTGGAATACATTAGCTCTTTCAAAAACCCACCCAGTGTTTAGCCTCAACGGCAGCCAGTTACCAGCTTCTCTCTGTAGCCTTCAGCAGTGTTTGCATCTCTGACATAACCACAGGCTGCTGTTTTCAAGAAGAGCAATCTGTTTGGATAAGAAAAACCTTTACTTTACAGCTTCCCTTTATAATTTGTTACACAGGAATAGTTAAATGCATTTGTTTGTTTGTTTTTTGAGACAGAGTTTCACTCTTGTTGCCCAGGCTGGAGGGCAATGGCGCGATCTCAGCTCACTGCAACCTCCGTCTCCTGGGTTCTTGATTCTCCTGTGTCAGCCTTCTGAGTAGCTAGGATTACAGATGCCTATCACCATGCCTGGGTAATTTTTGTATTTTTAGTTGAGATGGGGTTTCACCATGTTGGCCAGGCTGGTCTCGAACTTCTGACCTCAGATGATCTGCCCGCCTCAGCCTCCCAAAGTGCTGGGATTACAGGCATGAGCCACCACGCCCAGCCATCAATGCATTTTTTTTATTTTTTTTTTGAGACAGAGTTTCGCACTTCTTGCCCAGGCTGGAGTACAATGGTGCGATCTTGGCTCACTGCAACCTCCACCTCCTGGGTTCAAGCGCTTCTCCAGCCTCAGCCTCCTGAGTAGCTGGGATTACAGGTATGTGCCACCATGCCTGGCTAATTTTGTATTTTTAGTAGAGACGGGGTTTCTCCATGTTGGTCAGACTGGTCTTGAACTCCCGACCTCAGGTAATCCGCCCGCCTCGGCCTCCCAAAATGCTGGGATTAGAGGTGTGAGCCACTGTGCCCAGCCCATCAATGTGTTTTAAAGCTAGCTGTCAGGGTTCCACTTAATTTAAAGCTGGGCAGGGAGATGTGTAATGATTTCAAAGTTAACACCTGTTTGTTTTCTAAAGGGCATGCCAAGTCCTGCTGTATCAGGGAAGTATTCTGTGCTAAAATCAGCGATGGTTCATTGCTCTAGTCTCTCTCACCCTTCTAGGCAGTGCATCAGTCAGCTCTAAATCTGGTGCAGAGGGTTAACAGCATAACCCTTGTTGGCAAAATGGAATAGATGTTAAGACCTCAAATAGGGATTTGGGATGAAACAGCTGCAGTTAGCACTGTTATCTGAGCATGAAAGAACTGGAAACGCTCCTTACGTCGAGATGTTGGACCTTGAAGCCCTCCTGAGGCCAACATGCAAATCTGGCTGTGACGGTTCATCTGACACCTGTGTAAAGCTGACCAGCCTGCTCTGTACAGTGACAATGAGGAGCCCCTCTCTTCCTTAAGTAGGAATCTGTGAAGCAAAATGTTTGCTGCCAAAGACAAATCAGACTGTCAGTCATTAAAAACAGCATTAGCAGGATGAGGATAGCAATGGGGAAGGGTTGTGGGCAATGCAGTAACAGGGAAATGGCTTCAGAAATGGTTTGAGTTGGAAGACAACATTCTTCATCTCTCAGGACTTCTAATTCCTTGATGCTAAAAGAAGAGGCATGGATTCTATGAGCTTCCAAGTCCCTTTCCACTTTAACCTTCTACAAATCTTTCAGAGGACTGCCTAGTAGCAAAGGTTATTCCTGGACACAGGAAAGACGGGCATTACAGGGACCAAAGCTCTGAAAGGTGACTTTTATTACCAACACACTGGCTGGAAAAGGGACAAACCACATCACGGGTGAGTGATACTTCTCAGTCTTCTCTACTCATTCAACAAAGGAAATGTGGGCTGGGGCAGAGGTCTTTTTTCATTTAATACTGGAAAAATATTGAAGAGCATCCATGTTCACTTATGGCTGGTTTTGCTATAGAAATTGGAAAATAAAGGCCACTTTTTTGAAATCCCCAGTTTAATTAAACCAGATTTTGGCCTATTGGTATAAACACATCAGAAGGTAAGTTTGAGGTTAGCTAGCAGCTAACTAGTTCTAATAGAACCAGTCACAGAATAGTGGGCTAAGATTAGAGGTAAAACTCATTCTAGGCCAGTGGTTCTCAACTTTACCATATTGCGAGCTTAAAAAAAAAAAACACAACCTGGGGGGTCCCCCTGCCCCACTAAAATTTTGATTTAATTGGTCTGGAATATAGGCCAGGCGTTAGGATTTTAAAAAGATATCCTCAGGTGATTCTATTGCATAGCCCAGGTTGAGAAGCACTGCCCCACCCCGCTGAGATTCTGCATTTCTAACCAGCTCCTAGGTGAAGTCCATGCTGCTGTTACAGACCACACTTTGAGCAGCAAGAATCTGACTTTAGAGATACACTCAGGATTAAAGTATGAATGAAAATATGAATCTTAAGGGTATTTTTCTAGTCACTAAACTAGGGATTTACAGCAGCAGTAGAATGGAGAGTAAGACCAAAAGAACGAAAAATAAATTCATTTACTAATAAAGGAAAGGGGAAAGAACAGCCCTTCATGGGCAAAAGCTTCTACCATGAACATTTATTTTTGTTAAAGCAGATTATAAATTTTCATCAGTACAAATATATATAACTTACATTTGATTGTAAGGCCAACGTTCAAAAGTAAAAATGAGATGAGCTCTCTTATTGTTATCCGAGGTCAAGAGGCTGCAACTGTCAAGGGGATGTTCTCACCAAAAGGGGGTTTGGGGGAAGAGGACACACACAAAGCTAATAAAACCAGAATCCCCATCCCCACAAAACTCATGGGAACAAAATTTAAAGGATAAAACAAAACCCACCAAGACCCATATTACAAACCAATATGGTAACCTGTGTTCCCTTCTATGGTATGATTATGTCATGTTACCTTAGTGTTAAAGGATTAACATAAGGAAACTGCAGCAATATATAAAAGATATATTCTCTATAGAGCATATTTCGATTGATTCCATTAAAATAATGACATTAGAATTCCATCATAGGTTTAAAACCAGGACAATACTGCTTTTCCTTTATTTAAAAAAAACTACAACCTAGTGACTGTATTGGTCATAAGCATGATTGTTGTTGCAATGTGCTACTTACAATGAATGACTGACAGAAAACAAGCTAGGGATCCTGTCTGCAGCTTCCAGCCTTTCCTCTTTTTATTTCAGTAGGCATCAATGATAAATCAATCTTATGTACAATTTCTTACAACTAGCCCCTTTACCTTTGGCAAGATTACTTACAACTCATACAACTTCTTAATATCTGAGAACTATTTAAAATATTCTAAATGCATAAAAATAAAGATTTTGGCTTTTGATATATATAATATTTATTCTGTTACTCAAAATGGAAGCTCAACTTCTCCCCCAAAATATAGCTCTGCTGGGCAGTTGCTGATATGCCCTCCTGGGAATTCTGGCAGCATAGCGTGCCTCTCTGTTCCCCAGCCTGAGCACAAACCACTCTTCTTGATCTCTAATACAGGCCACTACTGACAGGAGGCAGGTGAATGGCCTGAAAAACAAAGGGAGATTGCTTTGCTTCCTGTTGTGTTTTACATTTCAGTAAATGTGCTTGGAATATAGATTCTTGTTCAGATACTTTGCCTCTCTGTTGCCAGAGATTTGTAAGGGGGTAAGGGAAGAGGGAGTACAGAAAGCAACATTTCCTTGACTTCTTTAGCCTAATTGCAAGGCAGCTTTTCTCTAGGAATGCTTTTTCCCATGTCTTTCAAAATCACCCCTCACAGTACTCTGGGCCTGGACTTGTTCCTTGGGACCTTTGGGATTAGTGAAAAGAGTACTAATCAGGAGACAAAGTCTGTTTTGCTCCTTTGACCGCTACCCCCTGCTCCCTGTCTGGTATGGACAAGATACATAGCCATAATGATTGCTTAAAGTTCAATTTCAAACGTCTTCTGTAAGTCACTGGAGAAAGGGTTGGTAGGGGAGGGATTAGTACGCTGCTTGGACTTATTTTCTAATGCAGCCCACTGGGCTTCAAAAGGATCCACTGGGCAGGTGCCTGTAGGAACCTCTGTATGCCTGTCTGCTGAGGCCAACCTGCCATCATCTACACCATTGAAAGCTGCAGAACCGTTGAGGTGCTGAGCAGGAGGCTTAAAGAAGGGACTGGTGGTAGCACTGCTTGCCTCGTAGTGAGGGAATGTCTGCTGCCTGACCAGGCTGGGTGACTGATGGGGATGGGCAGCCTGAGGGTGGCCTGCAGTGCCAAATACGTTGGCCACCATCTGGGAGGGAGTGATGCCCACCACAGGCACATTAGGGGCTGGATAGGGCATTCCATTGGCCACAGGATAGGACTGGGCAGGGACAAAGGCTGGTTGCAGGGCTGGGACCACACCCACTGGCACAGGCTGAGAGGTGAGGAATGCATTCCCTTGGAAAGGTGATGCTGGCTGGGAGATGGCAGTGGGTGGAGGAGGCTGGAGAACTGGCTGCAGAGGAGCAGCTGAGGCCTGGGGCTGCTGAGCCCGGACGCTCTTAGACACCTCTTCTAACCATCGGTCGGCCTCAGAGGGAGTACGTCTATGACCGGCCTGGAAGAGACCTGGAGAGGCAGCACCAGAAGATTGACCCCACTCGGTCCCTGGAACCAACAAGATGAGAGACAAAAGAATCAGTTAGGGGCATCTTTCCTCACCTTATAATCTTGGTTATTTGAATGATCCTAACATGTACAACATGTCCCCCCCTAATGGGACATTTTGTGGTTTTGATAGGTAGGAGTAAAGTCTCTATTACCAACTGGGATTTTGTGGTAGGATGAAGAAAACTTGTCAAGACCATGCTGCTGTGTCAGCCACACTGAAGCACTGTCTAGATATGGCTCAAATGCATTAAACCACGGCAGCTGACTGATGTCAGAAACCCCTCGCTGTTGCTATGGCTCATCCACAATACAGAAACTAGCTGGTTGTGGTAGCTCACACCTGTAATCCCAGCTACTTGTGAGGCTGAGGCAGGAGGACTACTTGAGCCCAAGAGCTGGAGGCTGCAGTGAGCTATGACTGTGCCACTGCACTCTGGCCTGGGCAACACAGTGAGAATTCTGTCTTAAAAAAAAAAAAAGGCCACGTGCAGTGGCTTATGCCTGTAATCCCAGCACTTTGGGAGGCCGAGGTGGGCAGATCACCTGAGGTCAAGAGATCGAGACTATCCTGGCCAACATGGTGAAACCCCGTCTCTACTAAAAATACAAAAATTAGCTGGGCGTGGTGGTATGCATCTGTAGTCCCAGCTACTCGGGAGGCTGAGGCAAGAGAGTTGCTTGAACCTGAGAGGCAGAGGGTGCAGTGAACCAAGATACTCCAGCCTAGTGACACAGCGAGACTCCGTCTCAAAAAAAAAAAAAAAAAAAAAAACACCTAGCTTGCACATCCTCTAAAGGGCCCAAGGCAATTCATCTTCTGCTCTAACAGAGCAAAAAGAAAATAACCAGTGACCTGGCCATATCTTGCTGGCCTCTGCCTGGCTTCCAGAAATATGTTGTCTTTTTGGTGAACTGCCTTTATTACTATGTTAAAACCTTTTGAGGCCGGGTGTGGTGGCTCACACCTGTAATCCCGGCACTTTTGGAGGCCAAGGCGGGTGGATCACGAGGTCAGGAGTTCGAAAACAGCCTGGCCAACATGGTGACACCCCATTTCTACTAAAAATACAAAAATTGGTTGGGCATGGTGGCATGCACCTGTAGTCCCAGCTACTCGGGAGGCTGAGGCAGGAGAGTTGCTTGAACCTGAGAGATGGAGGTTGCAGTGAGCCAAGATCATGCCACTGCATTCCAGCCTGGGTGACAGAACAATACTCCACCTCCAAAAAAAAAAAACTTTTTGGTTTTATAATTAATAGATGTTTTTTATACAAAACTAGAAAGTACAAAAAAGCAAAAATGAAGTGCTTTTTCTAGCACTTTTTGTAGGCCTCCTATTGTAGGAGCAGGGCCCCCTCTTTCTACAGGAATGTCTGCACATCACCAAATCCGGTGATGGATTCTCTGAGGTGGGGCCCTGGAATCTTTTTTTTTTTTTTTTTTTTTTTTGAGACAGAGTATTGCTCTGTTGCCCAGGCTGGAGTGCAGTGGCGCAATCTTGGCTCACGGCAAACTCTGTCTCCCAGGTTCAAGCGATTCTCCTGCCTCGGCCTCCTGAGTAGCTGGGACTATATGCGCATGCCACCGCGCCTGGCTAATTTTTGTATTTTTAGTAGAGATGGTTTCACCATGTTGGCCAGGATGGTCTCCATCTCCTGACCTCGTGATCCACCCACCTCAGCCTCCCAAAGTGCTGGGATTACAGGCATGTGCCAACACACCCAGCCGGAATCTGTATTTTATAAAAGCTCTATGGGTGGGGCTCTGTTCCACAGTCCTGTTCCACAGTCCTAATGACTATCAGTCTGATCTCTTTTGTTCTCCTTCACCATCCTTTCTTATGTAAGCAACTTATTTCTAGGAGGGAACATAGTTTTCCTGAAAGGATTCCTCCCTAGTTCCCACTCAGCTAACTGGCTGAGTTTTAGAACCAGGGTCACTTATCTGATCCCAGAATCCTCAACACCATCTGTGGCCACCTTACCCGAACATGTGGCTGCAATTTCCTTGTTAGCAGCATCAGGGGCATGGGCCCAAGGGTTGGTTTCACGCACAGGCATTGCTACGGGTGCTAGAGCAGTATGGGCTGGCTTAGCAAGCACATGGAAGGCTGAGTCAGTGCCATTAGCTACAACGGGAGCAGACAACATCAATGGAGTTAATTCATGCAGGGTGTACAAGTGACCCCTTGGAGCTGTGTCAGTCAGGTGAATGTACAATACTGGTGGAATGGATAAGAGAGAAGAGTTGATGTTTGGGAAAACCATGATATCTTGCATTGGATGTACATACCATTAGGCAAAGAAGCAATCAGAGATTGTAATTTTTAAATGGTTGTATAGATAAAGTCAAATAACTGTTCTAGGAAAATATGTGCATGGGGAGTGGGGAAATGAAACCTACGAAAACAATTTCAAATTAAGGTGAACAGAGCTGCTGCGTCTTAGGAGCAGCAAAAAATATCTAACTATTCTAGATATAGCTTAGCCTTCGGCATAATGAAGTAGGTATAGCATTTCCCTCTTCTTCACTTTTCCAAAAGGTCAGATTATGTTAACAATAATACTGGTTAAAAATAGGCCAGGTGTGGTGGCTCACGCCTGTAATCCCAGCACTTTGGGAGGCCGAGGTGGGTGGATCACCTGAGGTCAGGAGTTCGAGACCAGCCTGGCCAACGTGGCGAAACCCCGTCTCTACTAAAAATACAAAAATTAGCTGGGTGTGGCAGTGTGCACTTGTAAACCTAGCTACTAGGGAGGCTGAGGCAGGAGAATCACTTGAACCCGGGAGGCGGAGGTTGCAATGAGCCTAGATCACACCACTGCACTCCAGCCTGGGCAACAGAGTAAGACTCCATCTCAAACAAAAAAAAATTACTCTTTGTTTCCTCCTCAAAAGTTAAAATGTATATATGATTCGTTATTATGTGCTAGTCATTAAGCTAATATTTTACATGCATCATTTCATTTAATTATCTCAAAAACCCTACGAGTCTGGTATTATCCCCCTATTACAGATGAGAAATCGAAGTTGGTATGTTTTCATTTGCTTGATAGATTTCTAATTTGCTACACAATTAATTTCAACTTTTTTTGAAGGTTTTTTTTTTTTAACTCTCCTGGTAACTCACAGAACATTTTTTAACAAAGATTTTTTTCCCCCTCTATGATGTTTACAATATCACAACATACCTACTATTCTTTCCTCATCTCCCCTTGTTAAAATCTGCTAACCCTTGTTCCTTTTACTCCAGATACCTATATTAGTTTCTTCTCCTTAGCCCAGCTCTCAATAACATTCAGTTTGGTGTAGACAAGCACCCTCCCCTGACCTACAATATAATTATATCCTTTTTAGGACTGGACAGCCATGCCTATGGTGTTGGTACTATTTTTTTTTTTTTTTTTTTTTTTTGAGATGGGGTCTCGCTCTTGTCACCCAGGCTGGAGTGCAATGGTGTGATCTCGGCTCACTGCAACCTCCGGCTCCCAGGTTCAAGCAATTCTCCTGCCTCAGCCTCCCGAGTAGCTGAGATTATAGGTGCCTGCCACCATGCCCGGCTAACTTTTGTATTTTTAGTAGAGACGAGGTTTCACCATGTTGGCTAGGCTGGTCTCGAACTCCTGACCTCTGGTGATCCGCCTGCCTCAGCCTCCCTGTTGGGATTACAGATGTGAGCCACCGCACCCAGCCGGTGTTGGTACTGTTTACCTAGAGTTTGTCTAAAAGACTGCCTTTGCTTTTTTGGTGGCAAAAAAATTTTTTTTTTCACCTAGAAACTGGGAGCCCTCTAAAGGCAGGGAAAGGAAACTGAAATATTCAATTTTGCACACTTAGTGCCTTGTAGGCTGGCAGAATCAGCAGAATGTAACGGGTACTATATTCAGGAGGACCTGAGTTTAAATCCTGTCTGTAAGATTTGGGCAATTTACTTATCCTCTCTGAGCCTCTTTTTTTTTTTTCATCTGTAACACCTACCTCACAGGCTTGTTGTGGGGATTAAATGAAATAATGCATGAATACCTACCACAATGTGGCAAGCAATGTGTAAGTGCTCAATAAATGGTGCCTATTATTACCGGTATTATAAATGTTTGTTAGATGACATGAAAAGTCATTTGGTACACATGACTATGAAGGTTTATTAAAAAGAAAAAGAAAAAGACCCTTGGAGAAAAAGTGTGTAGTTCTTCCAGTAGAAGCAGGGCACTATCTCTGGAGTAAAACTTCCGCTGAGCTCTCTTTCAAAAGAAATGGAGAAACAGCAATTATAGCAGCTCAAATTCTACAAGTCTGTAACTTAAGTTACATAAATTCTTTGCTGACCTCTGAGTCAATATCCACTATTTAGTCAGTATCTCTGAAAACAACTTTTAACTCTTCAATGCCACAAAGGCAAATTTTAAGACACTTGTTATAGAAGATGAACTAAAGAGCTCAAAGGAGTGCCTTTTTCTTTATTAGCCTCTTTGACAGGGCAGAGACTAGGTGAGTCCAGGGCTTCTCAACATTGGCACCACTGACATTTTGGGCTGGATAATCCTTTGTTGTGGGTGCTGTCGTCTACACTGAAGGATGTTTAGTGGCATTCTTGGCATCTAACCACAAGCCAGTAACACCCCCAACCCCCAACTTGTAAAGCCCCAAAATGTCTCCAGACAGTGAAAGACAAACTTTGCCCCAGTTGAGAACCACTACACTAAAGAAAGCATAACCTTTGAACCAATTCTGATGACTACTGCTTTTGGGAAACTGGATGGGTATGCTGATCCTTAACAGTCAAGTGGGAAATAAGGCAGTAGGTTGGGACTACAGAAATTCCTTATAGAATGGGGTGAAAGATGGGCACATGCAGAATGACAAACACAGACATCTTAGAAAACAGGAAGGGCACAAAGACATCGTCGAATGGAGAAATCAATGAATCTAAGACATCAAATAGAGAAATTAATGGGTCTGACCAGGCCTTGGGAAGCTCAGGATGCCAACTTACAGTTAGTGAGCAGTGTACTAAAAGTACTGGTTGTAAAGAGAACAGCTGAGCAGGTCAGAGGGCACCAACCTTGGAAGGTAGGAGATTGTGGTGCCACCACTGTCACTGGTTTGGTCATCGGAGCAGATGAGAAGGGGTCCTCAGGTGTGCTGAAGGCATTGGTGATCTGTGAGCACAGGGAGCTGATGCTCTCTGCCTCCCCTTCTACTTCTGGCACTGCAAGGCAAACAGAAAATGGCTCCAGACAGAAAAATGGAATAATCCTGAAATTTGACAGTATGATGCAAGCTGGCACTTTATACTGTATCTCCTGCTTATGTAAGAAAAGGCTCAATTAACTGTATGGCAGGGCTACAAAACCAGTTTCAAAAAATTTACTGGCCACAATTTCATTGGCTTTTCAGATGGGAAAGTATAAAATGTCAACAATTAATGTACTAAGGCACATCTTCCTCCCTTACAAATCCCCAAATTTCTTCATTTCTTCTTCTTATAACACTGTTGAGGATCTGTCCTTTTTGTGCCAAGATGTTCAGCTAGCCAGATCTTTGTAGAAGACATTTGCAACCTGTATGCCTTCCAACGTGTTCTCAAGACTGTGATCTGAATTAGGTTCTGGAGCCTTTAGTAATTCTGTCAGGAAAATGGGTTCAAGTCTGGGCACTAGTGGATGCTTAGTGCTTTTCTCTGTAACAAACTATGACAATGTCATCAATCTCATTTTTCTCCAAAGTCTCCAGTACTAAGCATATGATCTATGATAACATGAAAAAGTGAGCAGAGGTGTAGGACGCTAGGGCCTTTATTCTTAATACTGACTCTAGGATACTTCTGTATCACTGAGGAAGCTAATTATGTGTGCTAAAGCTCTGTTTGCTCATCTGTAAAGAGAATAATAGTTTTTATTCCCTGTCTGCCCTAGAAGGAGACTGAACTGAAATGAGGTACCTCAGCTGAGAACTGAAAAGACCCTCCGTAATCATCTAGTCCAACTATTCTTTAGGCCTAGTTTCATCTGTCAGATGAACTTAACTCTCTGTACTTTTATACCATCAGTAGGAATGGCCTATTGAGACAGTTTCCTCATATTTTGTTATAGCAATGGCTTGACATGTCTCAGAGGGAAGTAAAATAGAGCCCAACAAAAGCACTGACCAGATCTAATACTTTAGCTACAGATTTTATGACGAGGATAGACCTATAGAGGCTGGCATAGCTGTACAGAGGCCACACAAAGGCCTGTGAGACGGTTCTGAAAGGTAATGAATACTTGTGAACAAGTCCACTGTCTGTGATGAACAACAGATCTTAGATGTACACGAAAGACCTGTCTAGAGTTTCCTCCTTATGGAGCCAACCAGCCAGAAGGACAATGAGCACATATCCATTTCTTCTGCTGGTAATGCTATGTGTTTCTAAGGCCTCTTTAATTAATTCCCTGCTGGGTCCCAATGGCAGAATAAGAATAGAAACTTGAGACCCTTGATGTTTGGGAGCAGGTTGGCTGAAAGGCAGTGAATGCACTTACATCAGGACAAACCACAAATCTTATGGCTTAGGCTAGAAATTCCACAATGGCTCTGCTGCCTGTTTGTTGAAGAGAAATTATGGATTCACATCCCCCTCCACGGACCTTAGTTTTCCCACTATGGGAAATGACAAAAGATACAACTATCAACGAACCTCAGGGAAAGAGGAATGCCTAGTTTAATGGGATTAGTGTCTTCATGGGAAGTGATGAGAATGCTTCAGTGCTCGAGTACCCAGTGAGTCAGGTAGATGCTACATTACCTGCATTTTTAATGGGGAAATCAGTCTTCCTCTGCATAGTGGAAGGCAACTCATTGATGCGTAGGGATAGTTGGCGTTTAAAGGGTGACATCTTCTGGCTAAGAGCAGGAAAACCTCGGAAAGAGCCTTGGCGAGCAAGCTGTTCAATTGGAGCATGCCGGCGTGGGATGGCATGAGGATTGTTCATCTCCAGAGAGGTCGTGGCATCAGAAGTAGGAGAGGTGGGAGAGGATGGGGATGGGGCAGTGTTGCCAGGGGCAACTGATGAACCAACGACTATCTTATCTGTTTCAGCTCAAGAAAATAAAGAGAATGAAGACCTTAGCAATGTCTTCAAATAATTTGCGTTTAGAGAGCTGACAAATTCGAAAGCCCTCTAGGTCCTTTTACCCATTTCCTTCCCAGTGTCTCTTAAAACATAAGTTAGAAGCAGGGTTCGGATCCATTTTTCAGACAGATAAAAGGCTTAGTAATGTACTATATGTCACAAAGCATATCTACTAAGACAGAAATGTTAGATCTTTTATTCTCATTCAGTGATTTATAAATTAAGACTGTGAAAAAGATCTTAAAAACTCAGTTCCTATGAATTCCTAATATGTAGTCTTTTAAAGAATGATTCATGATTTTCAATGCTTGTGTGTTAGGGGAGGAGAACTTTGGGAACTGTAGCATTAGAAAGGTCTAAATAAGCATAAGCTTAACCATATATCTTTGATTAGGTGTCAAAGAATGTCATATATAACAGTCTTTATTTATTTATTTATTTATTTATTTATTGTTTGAGATGCAGTTTTGCTCTTTTTGTCCAGGCTGGAGTGCAATGGCACCATCTTGGCTCACTGCAACCTCCACCTCCCAGGTTCAAGTGATTCTCCTGCCTCAGACTCCCAAGTAGCTGGGATTACAGGTGCACACCACCACGCCCAACTCATTTGGTATTTTTAATACACACGAGGTTTTACCATTGTTGGCCAGGCTGGTCATGAACTCCTGACCTCAGGTGATCCACCTGCCTCCGCCTCTCAAGGTGCTGGGATTACAGGTATGAGCCACCACGCCCGACCTAAAGCAGTCTTTAAATCATGCATTTGTGGTTCATTTGAATAAAAGCATGCAGTAGTAAAATTTTGAACTGGATTAAATTTGAGTAAATGTAAGACTGTGGGTACCAGTTGAGTCCCATTCTGATTGTGACAAATCTCAACCACCAACTCTCACAATCCTTTGTAGATCTTGGGACTCAATCTCTTTGCAGTTGTTGTGCATAACAATGAATATTATTTGGTGGTATTAAAGAACATGCTTAATTAGTGAATAGTCTGAAGACCACTAAAGCATATTAGATAACAGTAATACAGGTTAAATTTTCTAGTACAGATAGCATGATTTTTCCCCCCTTTGGCTTCCTGGTGCAAATATTTACAAGAAATGAAAAAAAATCACTATCAATAATTTCATTTCAAATAAAAATATGTATGCTTTTTTTTTGGAGGGGGCTTAAGAATTAGAGCTGTTTGGGTCAGTATTAGTCAATGATGCTAACCAAAAGGGCTGGTTTAAGGTCAGGTGCGGTGGCTCACACCTGTAATCCCAGCACTTTGGGAGGCCAAGGCAGGCAGATCACCTGAGGTCAGGAGTTCAAGACCAGCCTGGCCAACATGGCGAAAGTCCATCTCTACTAAAAATACAAACATTAGCTGGGTGTGGTTGCATTCACCTGTAATCCCAGCTACTCAGGAGGCTGAGGCAGGAGAATCGCTTGAGCCCAGGAGGTGAAGGCGGCAGTCAGCGGAGACTGCGCCACTACATTCCAGCCTGGGCAACAGAACTACACTCTGTCTCAAAAAAAAAAAAAACACCGAAATCAAACCAAAACAACAACAACAAAAATGACTAGTTTAGAACTAAAAGGTTATAGTAAAAAAAATTATCATATATATATATTTGTTTGTTTTTAAGAGACAGGGTTTTGCTGTTACCCAGGCTGGAGGAGTGCAGTGGTATGATCACAGCTCACTGTAACCTTGTACTCCTGGGCTCCAGCAATCCTCTGGTCTCAGCCTCCCAAGCAGCTAGGATTACGGATGTGCACCACCAAATATGGCAATTTTTTTTTTTTTTTTTTTTTTTTTTTTTTTTTAAGGGATAGAGTCTATGTTGCACAGTCTGGTCACAAACTCCTGGCCTCAAGTGATGTTTCCTCCTCAGCCTCCTAAAGTATTGAGATTACAGCTGTAAGCCACTATACCTGGCCTCAAAATTATATTAATGTCTATTAGTTAACTTGAATTGTTTGTGCTTGTCTTGTTGGTTTTAACCCTACTTATATACAAGAATTCAAAAGTATTTTCAAGCCCTATCATTTAGTTGTAAAATATACCCAACTCACATTTATAGACTGCCAACTAACTTGAATGTTTGTACAGGCATTTCTGCTGTGATGCCATGTGTACCTAAATAAAACTCACACTCTATAAAATCACACACTAAATTAAATTAACAGGGCTATAGAAAAAAAGAGTTATAGGCTTACCTCTCAAAATCTATAGACTTTTGTGACTAGAAAGCACTAAAAAACAGCAATAATATCATATAAACAGTATTACTGTTAAATCTCTCTGCTAGCATCATAGTCCGTGGATGCTTTGCAGCCTTAAGCCCTGGGACCTCTGCTGCTTCCTTTAAGATGCAGGTACTTGATTCATTTGCTTCTCAAAGAGATCAGATACATCAGAATTAAAAAGGTATTTCAGGATGGGAGGAAGGGGGTAAGAGATGTCTCTGCAGCTTCTTCAACTGCACTCTGATTCCTCAGATAGCTTACTATAATGGAGTAAATATTTTTGAAGCCATTAAACTAGCCACTCTAAAGGAAGCGGTTTTTAAGATTTTCAACTTTGTTATAAGGTTTTATATTGCTAAGGGTTCTCTTTGATTATGAGAAAATTTACCCCTGGTAGCTTCAAAATAATACCTTGTTGGGAAAAACTGCATTCCATAAATACACACTGTAGAACAGATTGTACCTTTCTTGGCATCTTGCATTTGTTTCATGATCTCCTCTCTTTCTGCTTGTTCAGTGGCTGTTGTGACACGGAATGATCCTTCTCTTGTAAAAGTGGTCCGACTAGCATCAAAAGTAGCAGTCACTCCACATTCCTTCTCCCGCTTCTGCTTGCGCTCTAAACAGGCTGCAAAAGCACAGCCTACTGCATGGCTCAACCTTTCACCCTGTAAGAGCAGATTTTAAAAGCTTTTCAGAATTACACTACTAACAATTACATACAAATAAGTCTTTTGTTTTGTTTTGTTTTTGAGACAGAGTCTTACTGTTACCCAGGCTGGAGTGCAGTGGCGCAGTCTCTGCTCACTGCAACCTCTGCCTCCGGGCTCAAATACTTCTCGTGCCTCAGCCTCCTGAGTAGCTGGGACTACAATCACGCACCACCACACCTGGCTAATTTTTGTATTTTTAGTAGAGATGGGGTTTTGCTATGTTGGGCAGGCTGGTCTCCAACTCCTGGCCTCAAGTGGTCTACCCAATTCAGCCTCCCAAAGTGCTGGGATTACAGGCATGAGCCACCACACTCGGCCCAAATGTCTGTTTTTATGAAAGCAAGATGTTGCAAATTCCAGCTTAAAATTGTTTTAATAGATTAGTATGCCATATTAATTTAAATGAATAAATTTTCTAAGGTAGTGCTTATGATGGTTCAATTCACTGTTACAAGCCTTGGGGTAAAGTGATAACCAGCAACCTGTGCTTTTGTAAGCAGCCATGGAGAACTCTTTATCACTTAGGCTCTGTCATGTCAGCCCTGGCCAACAGCTTAGAAGACTCTATGCAAGGTTTCAAGCCTTGACATGCAAGCTTCTAGTTGCCCTTTGGGGAAGCAGTGGGAATATTTACCAGCCACTTCTAAGAAACTACTGGAAAGGCAAGGCAAATTTCAGGAGCTTAATGCACTGTTAATATGTCTAGGAAAAAAAGGTGCAAACTTAAAACTTCTGATAAACAAATATAATTCCAGTGATTAAAAAGGAATGAGGCTGGGCATGGTGGCTCACATCTGTAATCCCAGCACTTTGGGAGGCTGAGATGGGCAAATTGCTTGAGCCCAGGAGTTTGAGACCAGCCTGGATAACACAGTGAGACTCTGTCTCTACCAAAATAATAAAAAAAATTAGGCCAGGTGCGATGGCTCACACCTGTAATCCCAGCACTTTGGGAGGCTGAGATGGGTGGATCATGAGGTCAGGAGCTCGAGACCAGCCTGCCCAACGTGGCGAAACCCCGTCTCTACTAAAAATACAAAAATTAGCCGGATGTGGTGGCGGGTGCCTGTAATCCCAGCTACTTGAGAGGCTGAGACAGGAGAATTGCTTGAAGTCGGGAAGTAGAGGTTGCTGTGAGCTGAGATGGCGCCATTGCACTCCAGCCTGGGCAACAAGAGCAAAACTCCGTCTCAAAAAATAAATAAAAATCAAAATAAAGGCCGGGCACAGTGGCTCATGCCTATAATCCCAGCACTTTGGGAGGCTGAGGTGGGCGGATCACCTGAGGTCAGGAGTTCAAGACCAGCCTGACCAACATGGAGAAACCCTGTCTCTACTAAAAATACAAAATTAGCCAGGCATGATGGCGCATGCCTGTAATCCCAGCTACTCGGGAGGCTGAGGCAGGAGAATCACTTGAACCCAGGAGGTGGAGGTTGCAGTAAGCCACGATCGTGCCATTGCACTCCAGCCTGGGCAACAAGAGCAAAACTCCGTCTCAAAAAAAATAATAATTAAAAAAAAAGAAAAAGAAAAAATTAGTCGAGTGTGGTGGTGGTGTGTGTCTGTGGTCCTACTTGGGAGGTGGGAGGATCACTTAAGCCTACAGTAAGCTCTAATTGTGCCACTGCACTCCAGCCTGGGTGACATAATGAGACCCTGTCTCAAAAAACAAACAAACAAACAAAACTAACAATGAGACAAAAGCTTTGCTGTCTCCCCTTTCTGAATCCCCCCTCTAAGCAACCCTCCTCATTTATGGCCCTCCGTGCTTTTAGGTTTTCCCCCATACCCTTCCTATCTTCCTCTAGCTCTAATTCCCAACTCTACCTCCCAACCAAACACAGGCAAAAGTGAAAGCATGTTTTCATCCACACTGTCTACTTATAAAAGAATTAAGCAGATAAAACTGGTTTGTGTATGGGAGGAGTGGAGGACGTATATAAACAAAACACTGCTTTATATAGATACACTGGATTACCCAGAGTCAATTTAATAAATTCAATGGATGATTTTTAGCAGGGTTATCTGTATTTTAGACCATTTTGCTAATTGTGGAATAAAAAAGCTAGAGATGGTACAATAATTGTTGGCATCATTCACAGTGAGAAGAGATATTTGGGAACAGGAAGTCTTTTGTGGTGTTCTCAAAATCACATCACGTAGGCAGCTGCTCCTACACACGGCTCTGAACAAGTCGTCTCACTGGATTTTGCATGACAGTATTAGTTATCATAAGGACAGGTAAGGTTTAAAATGCTTTATGTCCCTAAGATTTTACTACCTTTGACTACTTTTTAAAAATTTTTAAACTTTTTAAAAAAACTTTTGACTACTTATTTAAAGACTGATAGAATTACTCTATGAATCCACATGAGTTTCCATCTAACTTCCCAGTAGGATGACATTAGGCCAGATGTTAAAGCATGAAACAGGAGTACTGAAAGATTCTTAGAATGTGTTTGCATTTGAACGCAGGTCTATTATAAGGACAGAGCTACAGGTCAAGGAAGCTTGCTTATTCTTTCTCCTAGGCCTAGGGCAGAAGTTGTTGAAGAGTGACCTCATCCCCAACCAACAGCATCATCTGGGAACATTTAAGTGCAAATTCTTAAGTACCAACCCCAAACTCACTGAATGAAAAACGCTGGAGATGGGGCCCAGCAATCTATGTTTTAAAACAAGTCCTCCAGGTGATTTTGATACAGTAGAACTATTGGCCTAGGAGATTCAAACAGGCTGCCGGGCCACTATTTGACAACAAAATGGTTTTTAAGTTATTATCTGGAAACTCTTGAACTCCAGATTTTTAAAGTGTAGTGATAGCAAAATATACCCAGTTTGTGGTTTACTTAGGGTCTGAGAAACAGAAGACAAAAGCACAGTTTTGTTACTTCAACTCATTTCAAAGCACCTGTGTCAAACCAATGAAGGACAGCTTACACAATATTCGCTAAAATTTTTGGAGTAATGTGGCCCAGAACCTATGCTAAGTGTGCTTATAATCTTTATCCAATTTAGTATTCACAACCACTTTCTCCATTTATAGAAGTGTATACCAAGACAGAGAATGTTAAGTAACTTGCCCCAAATCCCACAGCTAGTAAGAACCAGAATCAGAACTGAAACCCATATCTGACTCAGAGCCTGAGCTCTTAGCATTTGTTTACACCAATGTCTCAAAGATCTTTAAACAATTTTGGTCAATTTTTAGACCATGGCCACTACTTATCTTCCAGATTAAACGTTGGCAAGAGCTTTACTGACCTGTAACCTTCACGAATGGCTATACTGCCTATTCTGTCTCGACACTTGCTGTACATACAGTTTGAGTATCTCTTTTCTGAAATGCTTGGGACCAGAAGTGTTTCTGATTTTAGATTTTTTTCAGATTTTGGAATATTTGCATTATACTTAACAAGCTGACATCCCAAATCCGAAAAGCCAAAATCCAAAATGCTCCAATGAGTATTTCTGTTGAGTGTCATGTCGGTGCTCAAAAAGTTTAGAATTTTGGAGCATTTCAGATTTTCGGATTTGAAATGCTCAACTTATAGTAAAATCATTGTCATTTAAAAGAGACTTGTCTTTCATGTTAAAATGCTGGGTAATTTACATAAAGAATGAAATTATTCTCTATTTTAAAACAAAACTTCTATCATGCAACAATTTCTAGCGTTGTTCATTCTACCGTAACTTAGTATTTCTGTTTAGTTTTTGTTTTTTGTTTTTTTTTTTTGAGATGGAGTCTTGCTTTGTCACCTAGGCTGCAGTGCAGTGGTGCAATCTTGACTCACTGCAACCTCTGCCTCCTGGGTTCAAGCGATTCTCGTGCCTCAGCCTCCTGAATAACTGGGATTACAAGCACCCGCCACCACAGCCGGCTAATTTTTGTATTTTTAGTAGAGACAGGGTTTCATCATGTTGGCCAGGCTGGTCTCCAACTCCTGACCTCAAGTGATCTGCCCACCTCAACCTCCCAAAGTGCTAGGATTACAGGCGTGAGCCACCGTGCCTGGCCTATTTTTGTTTTATTTTTGAGACGGAGTCTTACTGTCGTCCAGGCTGGAGTGCAGTGGTGCAATCTTGGCTCACTGCAACCTCTGCCTCCGAGTTCAAGCGATTCTCCTGAGTCAGTCTCCCAAGTAGCTGGGATCACAGGCATGCGCCACCACACCTGGCTAACTTTTGCATTTTTAGTAGAGACAGGGTTTCACCATGTTGGCCAGACTGGTCTTGAACTCTTGACCTCAGGTGATCTGCCTACCTCGGCCTCCCAAAGTGCTGGGATTACAGGTGTGAGCCACCATGCCCGGCCAGTATTTCTTTTTTCTTTTTTTTTTGGCCAGAGTCTTGCTCTGTCACCCAGGATGGAGTCAGTGGCACAAATCTCAGCTCACTGCAACCTCTACCTCCTGGGTTCAAGCGATTCTTCTGCCTCAGCCTCCCGAGTAGCTGGGACTACAGGCATGCACCACCACGCCCAGCTAATTTTTTTGTATTTTTAGTAGAGACGGGGTTTCACCATATTGGCCAGGCTGGTCTTGAACTCCTGACCTCGTGATCCGCCTGCCTCGGCCTCCTAAAGTGCTGGGATTACAGGTGTGAACCACCGTGCCTGGCCGGTATTTCTGTTTTTATAATAGTTGAAAGTATACTCCAACTCAGTTTTGTTTTTTTGTTTTGTTCTGTTTTTGGAGACAAGGTCTCACTCTGTCACCCAGGCTGGAGTGTAATGGCACGATGACTCACTGTAGCCTCCAACACCTACGCTCAAGTGTTCTGCTCGCCTCAGCCTCCCAAGGCATGTAGAATGTAGCTAGGACTACATGCATGTGCCACCATGCCTGGCTAATTTTTTCTTTAACTTTGTAAAGATGAGGTCTTGCCATGTAACCCAGGTTAGTTTCCAACTTGTGGTCTCAAGTGATCTTCCTGCCCTGGCCAAAGTGCTGGGATTATAGGGGTGAGCCATCAGGCCCAGCCAACTTCTTTCATTTGTAGTAGTCTCTATGCAAATACATTTTTAATACCATACTCATATATGTTAGCCAACAAATACATTTAAGAACCCTGAAAATACTTCCAATAATTAAAAGTTTCAAATAAAGTTTAGCAACCACTATCACCAGACCATTTTTACCTTCCTTTAATGATCTTTGGTTTCAGCCAATCATTTTGTTCAGTGAGTTGCAACTCCTGGGGTTACATCAAGAGTGTGAACTATTTGAATAAAAGGAGCTGAAAGTAGGCTAGTTTAGGCACTTCCAAGTACTTGTTAAAAATGTAGTAGAAACCGCTTGGCTGAGCAAACCCAGAAAGAGCCCAGCTAACTGAGAATACTCATCATGAAATACATATTTGCTGGACTCACTGTGTCCTTGACAGCCATGAAGCAGTGACAGATCCAGCGACGAGTGGTGCCATCACGGCATATGTAAGAAAAGGCTCTATCAAAGTTCCTGTCTGGGGCACAGAAAGAAACTTTCTCTATCGTCTGGTCAACTATGAGGTCCTAGAAAATACGACACACAAAGAAAGAGAAGACTTATGAGGTTATCTGAGCTTCTCAGAACACAGGATGTTCATTTCATGATGCACAATCCATACATCTGATACAACTAGGCTATGGAATACCTAGATCTGTGTCCAGCAGTTTAAATACTGAGAATTGGACTCAGCAGACATCCCAAGAGGCACTTTGCCCAGATACCTCTCTCAACTACATGTTCTAAAGCATATGCTTGTTGATTCTAGTTTTACATCTCTTTCATGGTAGATTCCACATTCAACAATATATGTAAATCAGTATCTTTAATCCTTTGGATAAAAAAAAAATCCTTTGGGTTTATTCCCAAATATAAGCAAATACATATAATAGTCATGTTTATGCTAACTTCGTTACACAATGAACACTACACACACATACACACAGTTCTGCACCTTGCTTTTTTACATTATATATACCCGATCCAGTGAAGTTACTTCAGATACTGTATTTTTCAGGTGTGGAATTTCCACTCGTTTCTTTTTCTTTTTTTTTTTTTTTTTTTGGACAGTCTCACTCTGTCACCCAGGCTGGAGTGCAGTGGCGCGATCTTGGCTCACTGCAACCTCTGCCTCCCGGGTTCAAGCAATTCTCCTGCCTCAGCCTCCCAAGCAGCTGGGACTACAGGCGTGTGCCACCACGCCCGGCTAATTTTTTTGTATTTTTAGTAGAGACAGGTTTCACTGTGTTAGCCAGGACGGTCTCAATCTCCTGACCTCATGATCCACCTGCCTTGGCCTCCCAAAGTGCTGGGATTACAGGCACGAGCCACCGTGCCCAGCCATTTGTTTCTTTTTCATAGTTTCTATTCTCTGCCAAGATTTCTATCTCTTCATTCAACATGAACATATTTCCTTTCTGTCACTGAGTATAGTTATAATGCCTTCTATACACTGTTTTCATTTCTGTTAAGGTAGCAGTCTACTTCAGTGTACCATTTTCTGTACTAGTTGTGGTGATGCTATAAACACAAAACAATACAATGACTCAAATACAAGAGACATTTATTTCTTGGTCAAATAGTGAAGGCGGGCATTTAAAATCTGTCTGCTAATTCCAACATCTGAGTCATCTTGAAGTTAGGTCTTTATTGATTGTTATTTTGATGAGAATAAGTCAGACTTGTCTGTTTTGTTGTATGCTGAGTAACTGCATTGTAGTCATTGTGAATGTTGTATGTGGAAAGAATGGATTCCGTTACATTCCTTGGAAGTGTCATATTTTTGGTTTTATCAGGTAGCTAATTTGATTATACTCAAATGGAAAACTCTTATCTTTTGAACAGCACCTCAGACATCAGGGCGTTTTTGTTCTTTTTTTGAGACTGTCTTGCTCCGTCATCCAGGCTGGAGTGCAGTGGCGCAATCACTGCTCACTGTAACCTCAACTCCAGGGCTCAAGCATCCTCCCGCCTCAGCCTCCCGAGGAGCTAGGACTACAGGTGCATGTCACCATACGTAGGTAATCAAATATCAGTTTTTATATCCTTAGTTGGGCTATTTGGAGTCTGCCTTGAATCTACATGGCTAAAAGGGTCAGAGATTTGGGCAGAATTTATGAACAGAATTTGGGACTACTCCTTTTTGGCTTACTCATTTCCAGGATTCTCTTTTTACTTTCTTTTTTTGAGATAGTCTTGCTCTGTCGCCCAGGCTGCTGGAGTGCAATGATGCAATCTCAGCTTACTGCAACCTCTGCCTCCTAGGTTCAAGTGACTCTCATGCCTCAGCCTCCCAAGTAGCTGGAACCATAGGCACGCACCACCATGCCCAGCGAATTTTTTGTATTTTTAGGAGAGACAGGGTTTCAGCATGTTGGCCAGGATGGTCTCAAACTACTGGACTCAAGTGATCCACCCGCCTTGGCCTCCCAAAGTGCTGGGATTACAGGTGTGAGCCACCACGCCCAGCCTCTCTTTTTACCTTCTAGTGGCTACTGTTGCCTCAAATTCTGTCTTCTGCACTTTGGGACGCCGAGGTGGAAGGACTGCTTGAGCCCAGGGGTTCGAAACCAGCTTGGGCAACATAGTGAGAACCCATCTCTAAAAAAAAAAAAAAAAAAAAAATTATCTCAGCCTAGGAGGCTGAGGCTGCAGTGAACTATGTCTGTGCCACTGTACTCCAGCCTGGGTGACAGTATAAGGCACTGTCTCAAAAAAAAAAAAAAAAAAAAAAAGGTAGGAACACTATCAGAATCAAGATAGACATGAGTTGAGAGGTGGGATAGCAAGGCAATCTGACAGAGCTTCTTGCTCAAAGGTTAAGGGCTTCAGATTTCAGCTTCTGTTTCATAAAAATTTGTGCAGATCATGGCATGGTGTTATCACCAATACTGATCCCAACATGGTATTAGTTCCCGCTTATAGTGAAATACAAGGTGGGAAGATGGTCCCAATGGTGACAAGCCACCAATGACTACTAATTACTACTATTCAGTGTGGAAAAAACTAAACTAATGAATGCCAGTGGTGTAAGTAGCCACAAGGGGGCAATATCACTTTCCAACTATTGTATAAAACAATTAAATACATAGCTTTCAAGTATAACAAATTTCATCCAAACACTAATGAAAACTACACAAGTTCCAAAAAATAATTAAAATGATCACTGTTTCCAACAGTAATGTACTAAAAGTGAAGACTATTGCTTCTCTTGAACTTAAAAAAAAGTATGCAATGTAATAAGGTCAAATAACTAAAATGCAGCTATATTAAACCACTTGAAATTTACCAGGCAAGTTGCCTATCAAAACTGCTTTTTACCTGCCAGACTTTCTCCCCTTTCAGTGGCATTTGAATTTTTTTTTTTTAATTATCTTCTTGTTAAATTTCTTCCTGACTTTAGGTATTCTAGGAAATTTTAATTAACAATTAAATGTACTTATATAACACCCTATGCTTTCTAGGGGTAGAGCTGTGTGTCTATTCTTATTTAGGCATTTAGGATCACTGTCTCTCAAATGCAAAATGGTACCTATGATTTGAGATATTATTTGGATTCTAAGTAAATGTTAACCAAAGAGCCATTCACTAGTCCTTAAGATGTCACTTAAATTGAGTTTTGAGTCAAAAGCCAGGTTAATTAGTTCAAATATCATTTTCTTAAAATAGTGTTTTCTTCAGAGCAAGAAGAAATTTCAGATGTGGAGTCCATCTTTTTTTAATTTTAAAACATGGTAAAAGGATAGTCTATCATCTATTGTATCAAATTTGTGAGAGTGGAAACTTATTAAAAAATATATAAGAACAAAAATAGGCCACGAGCGGTGGCTCATGCCTGTAATCCCAGCACTTTGGGAGGCCAAGGCGGGTGGATCACTTGAGGTCGGAAGTTCAAGACCAGCCTGACCAACATGGTGAAACCTCATCTGTACCAAAAATACAAAAATTAGCGGGGCATGGTGGTCTGTGTTTGTAATCAGCTACTTGGGAGGTTAAGGCAGGAGAATCGTTTGAACCCAGGAGGTGGAGGTTGCAGTGAGCTGGGATCGTGCCACTGCACTCCAGCCTGGGCAACAAGAGTGAAACTCCATCTCAAAAAAAAAAAAAAAAGAACTCAGATCTTAACACTAAATGCTAATGCTTAGTACCTTAGACATGCTATGTCATGTAGAACAATATGTTGAGAGAATACTATTTCTCATAAAGTAAATGAGTAACTAAAGTGGTTTCCTGAACGTTAAATAGTCTCTCAGGAGATTGTACTTTGGACTAAGTGGAAGGATAAAGCTTCAACAATATAATACCCTTCAACAGCTTAAGGGTATTATATTTGATCATTAGAGATTTTAAAAAACATATGAGCAGTCCCATTTAAGCTTATAAGAATCTTACCTTAGGCCAGGCGTGGTGGCTCACTCCTGTAATCCCAGCACTTTAGGAGGCTGCCGGTGGATCACCTGAGGTCAGGAGTTCGAGATCAGCCTGGCCAACATGGTGAAACCCCGTATCTACTAATAATACAAAAATTAGCCAGGCGAGGCCGGGCGCAGTGGCTCACACCTGTAATCCCAGCACTTTGGGAGGCCGAGGTGGGCGGATCACCTGAGGTCAGGAGTTCGAGACCAGCCTGACCAACATGGAGAAACCCCATTTCTACTAAAAATACAAAATTAGCTGGGCATGGTGGCACATGCCTGTAATCCCAGCTACTAGGGAGGCTGAGGCAGGAGAATCGCTTGAACCTGGGAGGTGGAGGTTGCGGTGGGCCGAGATCGTGCCATTGCACTCCAGCCTGGGTGACAAGAGTGAAACTCCATCTCCAAAAAAAATAAAATAAATCAAAATAAAAATAAAGAATCTTACCTTAGTTTTTTCATCCACAACTCTGAGTCCATCTGCTGAGACCCACAGAACTGCTTTAACTGCTTTCTTTCCAGTCTTTTAAGAGAAACCAAAAAGGGGAGGGGGAGATACACATATATAATATTAAAAAAATGTCATCTTCCACAGAAAACACTGACTCTGCCTTCCAAAAGTCACAAGTACAGATGGAGTCCAAGTTCAGGAGTGGTGCCCAAACCCAGATACTCAAACCAAACTGCAGAAACATTCAGGAAAAAACAAGCCAAAGCCATTATTTTAGAAACACAACGCAAAACAATAAGATAAAATTAAGTAAAAGGGAAGTAACAGATGGAATAAAAACCAAGATATCACATTCCATAAAGGGCAAAGAATTCATAACTAGATTCTTCACCCATTTAAAAAAATCAACCAAGAAAACCAGAGTCAGATAATTATTAAATACATAAGGAGTTACACCACAAGTAGCGTCCACAAGTGTATTTAGAGCAGGAAGTAACATGTCTAAATTGAGATGTTGACCATTCTACTATCCTATGACCCCCAGTATGTTATAGCAGGACCCTTGGTCACCTAAAATTTTCACGTTAAAAACACAGTAAGTCTTCATTATTCTATTAACAGTCTTTAAAAAGCCATTATTTGTTCTCTCAGAGTTAACACAGACATTTTTCCTAATAATTTTTTTTTTTTCTTGAGACAGAGTCTCACTCTGTCGCCCAGGCTGGAGAGCAGTGATGCGATATTGGCTCACTGCAACCTCCCCATCCCGGGTTTAAGTGATTCTCCTGCCTCAGCCTCCCGACTAGCTGGGATTACAGGCACCTGCCACCATGCCCGGCTAATTTTTGTATTTCTAGTAGAGACGGAGTTTCACCATGTTGGCCAGGCTGGTCTGGAACTCCTGACCTCAAGTGATCCGCCTGCCTCAGCCTCCCAAAGTGCTGGGATTACAGGTGTGAGCCACTGTGCCCAGCCTCTAATAATTTTAGAGACGAGGTCTCACTGTGTTGCCCAGGCTGGAGTGCAGTGGCTATTCACAGGTATGATCATAAAGCATTACAGCCTTGAACTCCTGGGCTCAAGTGATCCCCTTGTCCCAGCCCCACGTGTAGCCAGGACTACAAGTGTGCACCACTGTACCCAGCCTTGGCTTGGTTTTTAATTTGACATTAAATTCATGGAGACATTTTGGGGACACAGGAAGATTTAAAAACTACTGAAAAAATAATTTTCTTTTTATTGGCTCAGAAAATACTTTTTGGCACATGAGAATCACATGAGAACAAGCTGATGCATAATTCCTCCTGTGATGGAATGTAATAGTAATTTAACAGTGTCCTTTCTTTTTAACTGCCTCAAGGATACAGCAAAATAAAACAAAAGCAATATGAAGGCTGAGAATAGGTATCAGATTATCATAAAAAGTATAGATCAAAAGGAATCTGGTGCTAAGGTTGGCGCAGCAGCCTCTAGAAGCGACAAGGGAGACTTTTAGAACTACCATTCTCCTCTATAAGTGATCCAAGCCCAGGAAAACTTGATATGAGGACATGGCCTTACTGAAATAACCTGTGATCCACTCGGCCTCATCATCTCCACCACCACCATAAATTTGATGAGTGCCTATAATATGCCAGCCAGTGGAAATACCTGGAAGGTTACTGAAAGGCAACAATCAGACAAAAAATAAAGAATACCGTAGGTAAATGCTACAGTAGAGCTGAGAACAAGGTACAATGATGTCAGAAAAAAGGTATAATCAAATCTCTTTGTGGAATTGGGGAAGGTTATACAAAGGAGAAGACTGAACTGGGTGCTGGAATAATTTTTCTTGATGCTTAGGTAGGGGTAGGGAGACAGGGAAGTAACAGAGGTACTGGACATGCCAGGCAGAAGAAACAGCAGTACAGGACATGGAAGCAAACAACATGGCAAGTCTGGGGCTCTATAAATATTTCAGTATGGCTTGGTAAGTAGACTTGGCAATGGGAAAGGCGTAATGGGAGATAGAGTAGGAAAGGCCTAATCACAGAAGGCCTTCTATTCCTGATAAGGACTTTGATCTTGATTCTATGGGCAAATTAGAAGCTACTCTGTAAATATTATTACAATGAATTGAATTTAGGTTAAGGAGATTAGCCTTGGTAGTATGGGTATGCTTCATCCAATCAGTTGAAGGCCTCAAGAGCAAAAACTGAGGTTTCCTGGAGAAGAAACCCTGCCTGAGTTTCCAGCCCGTTGGCCTGCTTTACAGGTATCAGACTTGCCAGCCTGCCAGCCCCTACAATCACGAGTGAATTCTTAAAATAGATAATATGTATATATATGTCATATATGTATCATATATGTCATATATATGACATGACATATGTCATGTCATATATATGATATGACATATATATGTCATATAATATGACATATCTCCTAGCGGTTCTGTTTCTTTGGAGGATCGTGATACAGAAGTAGAAGTTAGACTAGAATGGGTCGAGAAGTAAATGAAAGGCAAGAAGAGTCTACAAGTATTAAATACTTTTTTTTACAAAGCTTTTCTATAAAAAGGAGAGCTGCAGGGCAATAAGACACAGGCAGAGCATCAAGGGAAGTCTGTAAGAATTGTGATAAACTAGCATGTTATACTTGAAATAGAATGGGCTTTGGATTAAGACAAATATGAGACTGAATTCAGCGCTACTATTCATAAGCTAAGAAAGTTATGTAGCCCACTGAGCTTCCATCTCTTCATCCGTAAAATATTTGTAGTTTGTTAAAAGGATTAGATATTATATACAGTACCTGGAATTTAAATAGGGTAACAATTAGTAGCCATTATCATCATTATATTATTAATAAACTTTTAAAAACCTCTCCCAATAGTAAAGCAGAATTCTTAAAAGAGTGATATACATTTTCAACAATGACATCCTCTTCACGTGCTGAATGGGAAAAGCCAGTGGAACAATGGAAACGGAAGGCCCAAGAAAAAGAGAAGAGTAATTTAGAGAACAAAGTCCAACAAAATGCAGGGTGAGATGGGGCTAGAATACAAGTTTTAGACAGGAGGAGAGATGTCCATTCCTATGAAATGGAGGGATAAAGTGAGGCCGAGTAGAGATGAAGACAGATTTGTAAAGGAGGGAGTAGCAAGTGGAGGAAATTCACTCTGGAGAACCATAAATTCATCTGTGAATTTATGGTTTTAATTTACCTGCTTTACTTTGCTGGGGAGAGGAAAGACGACAGGCAGAGTAAAATATTAAAGATTTAGAACAGTAGTATGGAGGCAGTCTAGTACGGTGACTAGGAACCAAGCTGTTGTTTGGATTTGAATTCTGGTTCTGCAAGTTACTCCTAGTATGATCAAAGGCAGGTTAATTTAACTTCTCTATGCTTCACTTTCTACATCTGTATAATGATGTTAATAATCTCATATACCTCATAGGGTTACTGTGAAGATTAAACGAATTAATGTATACGAAAGGTTTAGAACAAGGACGGTCATATAATTTACTCTACAAACTGGGAACCCTTTGAAAATGAAAGAGATGACTCGTCATTTACATTAGGTATATCTCCTAATGCTATTCCTCCCCCCTCCCCTCACCCCACAACAGGCCTCGGTGTGTGATGTCCCCCTACCTGTGTCCAAGTGTTCTCATTGTTCTAGAACTTAAAGTACAATAAAAAAAAGGAGAGATGACTATTAAAACTGATAAATGGGTGTTATAATAGGGCTGTTCCAGGCAAATTGGTAGAAGAGTCATTCACCAGCAACAGTAACTGCTCATATTTAACCAACCCTCATGTAACATTTAGTATTTTGCTGGAAGGTAAGCTCCATGAGGGCAAGGTTTCTTCCATCTATCATTCACTGCTGTATCCCTGGAACTTGAACAACATCTGGAACAGAGTAGCAGTTCAAGAAATATTTGTTGAAAGAAAAAATACGCTAAATATCTGTTGTAGGAAACAGGAGACAGCTGACCAGTGATATACAACATTGCCAAATGGCACTGACAATCCTAAGATATTTAAATTTGCAGTTTAATCAATCTGCTCATTGTATAATTGTAGCCTGCAGTGTTCAGTATCTGAGGCAACAGATAGGACTACTTCAAGGTTGGAAGACTGAAGAAGGGAAAAATAAAAGGTCAGTTTAGAATGGGACTGTTCTCCAGTTAGTCTCCTTACAATATTCAGGGAAATGTAACATTTTCTTGGCCCAATTATATGCTTGTTTGTTTGGAGACAGGGTCTTGCCTTGTTGCCCAGGCTGCCATACAAGTGGCACAGGACAGCTCACTGCAGCCTTGAACTCCTGGGCTCCAGTAATTCTCCCACTTCAGCCTCCCCAGTAGCTGGGACTACAGGCGTGCACTACCATACCCAGCTAATTTTTAAACAATTTTTTGTAGAGACAGGGTCTTGCCCTGCTGCCTAGGCTGGAGCACAGTGACATAATCATAATTCACTGCAGCCTTGAACTCCTAGGCTCAAGCGATCCTCCTGCTTTGGCTTCCCAAAGTGCTGGGATTACAGGTGTAAATCACCACACACATCCCAATTATATGGTTATAAAAACATGTGTGGCCGGGTGTGGTGGCTCATGTCTGTAATCCCAATACTTTGGGAGGCCAAGGCAGGTGGATCGCTTGAGGCCAGGAGTTCGAAACCAGCCTGGCCAACATGCTGAAACCCCATATCTACTAAAAAATACAAAAAATTAGCCAGGTGTGGGGGCACGTGCCTGTAATTCCAGCTACTCAGGAGGCTGAGGCAGGAGAATTGCTTGAACCTGGGAGGCAGAGGTTGCAGTGAGCTGAGATCACGCCACTGCACTCCTGCCTGGGTGACACAGCGAGACTCCATCTCAAAAATAAAAAAAAATAAAAAAAATTGTGCTTTTTGAGATAGGCCTTAATAATTTTATAGTATTGTACTAATGTATCAGTAAGGAATCATATTTGTCATATTTCATGGCCTCTGATCTCTCTGAAGAGGGGAAGAAAACAGATAATACGAATTCTTGTATTTGTTCATACTTCTGGGTGTGGGTTCTTGTACATCATTATAGTTTGCCACATTATAGTTATTTAAGTCAGGTACTGAAATATTAATGATTAGAGATGCCTATAGCTGAAATTAAGCCCAGCCTTCCTCTCACAAATTCTATAGTTGCAATACTTCCACATTTCTTTTTTTTTTTTTTTTTTTTGAGACGAGTCTTACTCTGTCGCCCAGGCTGGAGTGCAGTGGAGCAATTTAGTCTCACTGCAACCTCTGTCTCCTGGGCTCAAGTGATTCTCATGCCTCAGCTTCCCGAGTAGCTGGGATTATGGGTGCATGGCCCCACACCCAGCTAATTTTTTTGTATTTTTTTTGGTAGAGATGAGGTTTCGCCATGTTGGCCAGGCTGGTCTCGAACTCCTGACCTCAGGTGATCCGCCCACTTTAGCCTCTCAAAGTGCTGGGATTACAGGCATGAGCCACTGCGCCTGGCCAATACTTCCATATTATTTGTAAACTTGAGTCTTTCATTCTGACCATATAAACTAAGATTTCTGAGCACTTTTAAGAAAAGAAGATAAACATGGCTGAGAGAAGACTGTCTGCCCTAAAACTGTCTACTTGAAACCAGTACCCTAGGCCATCAGGCCGCAGTTAACTAATCAAAGGACTGAAAAAAAACTACATTAAATATCAAATGTAGAATTTACATACAGGCCGGGCACAGTGGCTCAAGCCTATAATCCCAGCACTTTGGGAGGAAGCCGAGGAGGGTGGATCACCTGACGTCAGGAGTTCGAGACCAACCTCACGAACATGGCGAAACCCCATCTCTACTAAAAATATAAAAATTAGCCGGGTGTGGTAGCAGGTGCCTGTAATCCCAGCTACTTGGGAGGGTGAGACAGGAGACTCCCTTGAACCCGGGAGGTGGAGGTTGCAGTGAGCTGAGATCGCACCATTGCACTCCAGCCTGGGCAACAGAGTGAGACTCCATCTCAAAAAAGAAAGAAACAAAGAAAAAAAAGAATTTACATACATCTTAGTGGCACAAACACCTCTTTAAAAAGACAACATGCTGGCCAGGCATGGTGGCTCATGCCTGTAATCCCAGCACTTTGGGAGGCCAGGGCCAGTGGATCACCTGAGGTCAGGAGTTTGAGACCATCCTGGCCAACATGGTGAAACCCCGTCTCTACTAAAAACACAAAAATCAGCCGGGCGTGGTGACATGCGCCTGTAGTCCCAGCTGCTCTGGAGGCTGTGGCAGGAGAATTGCTTGGACCCAGGAGGCAGAGGTTGCAGTGAGCCAAGCAAGATCACACTACTGCACTCCAGTCTGGGTGACAGAGCGAGACTCCATCTCAAAAACAAAACAAAACAAAACAAAAAAAAAACATGCTTCAGGAACTAATAAAAATGTGGAAGTGGCAACACAGATGTTCAGACATTCAGAATTATTTTATCATCGCTGCTCTAACACTTTCTACTTTAATAATAATTTCAGTTATAGGTAGAATTCACACTGACAAATGTATCATGAAAAAGTTTCACAATAAAGACAAAAATCCTTTTTTTTTCAAAGAAAACCGATCTAACATGGACAGAACTTTAGTAACTTGGAATTTAAATTGGTGAAATCTGAGCAGAAGGATCAAGCTAACCAAAAGTGAAAAATGAAAGTATAACTTTCTCAAGTAATTACTCTACACTATAAATATCCAGCTTAGTATTTTAAAATTATTATCTTCCTTAAAACCTTTTATTATGGGTAGATATAAACCAATATAGCAACTAAGCAGGTTCTGACACTGAAGAAAATAGCAACATACAGTGGATCTATTACAAATTACTAAATCAGGAAACTTGTACCAGAAGAGAAATGCACAGGTAATCTTAACACGAAAAAAATTGGTGAAGGAACATAAAATGGAAAATGGCACAGAAATAGTAACAAGCTCAGCACACTGTAAGATGACTTTCTCCTAAATATAAAAGCTACGTACAGTAAAAGGCAACTGAAATAACCAATTGCTATCTACCTATCTCCAGGCTTTGTTTCTTTAAGTAGAAACCACTGTTTCTTTCTTTCTTTCTTTCTTTTTTCATTAGAGACAGGGTCTTATTCTGACACCCAGGCTGGAGCACAGTGGTGTGATCACAGCTCACTGCAGCCTCAAACTCCTGGGCTCAAGTCATCTACCCACCTCAGCCTCCTGAGTAGCTGGGAGACCACAAGTAAGTACCACCACACCTGGCTACTTTTTTATTTTTATAGAGATGGTCTTGCTATGTTGCCCAGGCTGGTCTCAAGTTCTGGCTTCAAGTGATCCTCCCACCTCAGCCTCCCAAAGTATTAGGATTACAGATGTGAGCCACTATGCCCAGCTGAAACCACTTTTTAAAAATAAATTGAAAAAGGATGAAAATGACAAGTTGGTGATATACATGGTAGGTGGAAAGATTCTTACACTGCTCTTTTATTTCATCAGTATAATTAATGTTATCCTTAGGAGAAATGAGTTGGAGTTGGAGGAATGAGTTTTGTTTTGTTTTTTTTGAGGCAGAGTCTTGCTCTGTCGCCCATGCTTGGAGTGCGGTGGTGCGATCTCGGCTCATTGCAACCTCCACCTCCTGCGTTCAAGCGATTCTCCTGCCTCAGCCTCTCAAATGGCTGGGATTACAGGTGCCTGCCACCACGCCCAGCTATGGCTAATTTTTGTATTTTTAATAGAGAAGGGGTTTCACCATGTTGGCCAGGCTGGTCTTGAACTGCTGACCTCAGGTGATCCGCCCACCTCAGCCTCCCAAAATGCTGGGATTACAGGTGTGAGCTACCGCGCCTGGCCGAAATGAGTTTTTAAATTGTTGAAATTAGGGATTAGCAACCGTTTTTTGTGAAGGACCAGACAACAAAATATTTTAGGCTTTTCAGGACATATGATCTCTATTGCAACTACTCAACTCTATCATTGCACAAAAGCAGCCATAACAATATGTACACAAATGGGCATGACTGTGTTCCAATAACATGTTATTTACAAAAACAAATACAGTAGTGGGCCATAGTTTGCGACATCTGATACAATCACAATCTCTATAATTAATTGAATCTTCTTGGAAAGATAATTCATTATACTGAAATATTAGACCTGTTGGAACTGTGTCCCCGAATTCATTTTCTTTTTTTTTTCTGACAAATGTATTTATATCCTACCTATTTTAAGGTGCCATCCAACTCTAAAATTCTATGATCCCCAAGATCACCAGTGAGATAAGAGCATGCCATTAATTAACAAAAATAAAAATGACATTTGGAGGCAAGACAGCTCTGCGGGCATACGCTAGGTAAGAGCAAAAGGGTTAAGCAGATGTTCTAATGTAAGCTGAAGTGAAGAAATGCTATAAAGACACATGGAAACATCATTTTGCATAGCTTTGAAATATTAAGAAGCAACAGCAGCAAACAGACCAATTAGGGCAGAGCAAGTCACTCTCAGAACAACAGTGATTTGCAATTCTACTGTGCAAAGTTCCTTCAGCTACAAACCAAAGAGGTCTTCAAAGGTTCCCAATGTGTAAAGAATCACTGGTCAGTCTTTCCGTCACATCTACACAGAGGCAGGCATTACAGAGTAATGGTGATATATAAACCAGGGAACCATGATACAGTGTGCCTTGTAATAAACAAACGAGACTTTTTTCAGAGGAAACCCAGCTTCATTGCTTTTTAAATCAGAAAAGAAAAGCCTTGAAGTCTATAATTTAATATTTGAATTTCTGAACAGAATGGTGTAATCAATAAATTTTGTCTTATAATTCCAAAATCCAGTGAATATACCCCAAAGAACAAAGCAGTGAAAGGACAGAAACACAACTTTCTTCAGGATTTGAGATTGTACTGTGCTCAGGAAGAGTACAATAACTTTTAGTCTCAGACACTAAGGTTCATTATTCCTGTACTTTCTTAAATGAGAGGGGCACTTAAAGGCTTTTAGGAAAACACAAGGATGGAGCATGTCATGAACTACACAGTAAAGGAGAGATTTTGGGGAGGCAATTTAGCTCTTCTAGTTTGCCAAATCACTTCAATTGGGGGAGGGGAGACCTAGGGATTATTCCAATATTAAGTTCATATTTCAAAGGTATATAGTAGCTGAAATGAAAATTCTAGAGGCATCTCAAATTCAACCTGTCCAAAACCAAATTTATCCCTTCTCACAATGAGTGATTCCACCAACCCCTTGGTCATCCATGAACGAAATCTGGGTCTCATCTTCTGTTTCCTTCTCAACACCCCTAGGTTGAATGAATGAATGAATGAATGAGTGTGGAACATGTTTTCTCTCATCCCAATGTCCCTGATAGTGCTGTTCCTTCTGTCTGAAATCTCTTTCTCTTCTAAGTTAGTTTAACTGGAATTCATAGTTTTTAGGCTCAGCCCTAGGTGTCATCTCCTCCTAGAAGCCTTCATTACAACCTTTCACATTCACTCTTCCTTTTTGCTCCTGGAGCACCTGTTACTGTCACACAATTTGGTAACCATGTCTTTACCTATCTGATTCCTCCCACAACAGGGTGAACTTGAGCAGTACATTTCTCATTCATTCCTTTACGCATTAATTCAAATATTTTGGAGCAGCTACTATGGACCACAAATTATTCTAGGTACTGAAGATTCAGCAGTAAACAAAACAGGTGGAGATCACTGTCCTCACAGAGCTTACATTTCAGTGAGGAAGAGATAAGCAAGTAAAATGTATGGTATGACACACAGTGATAAACCCTATCAGATAAAAATAAAGCTAGGGGTCAGGCGTGGTGGCTCACCCCTATAATCCCAGCACTTTGGGAGGCCAAGGCGGGTGGATCACGAGGTCAGGTGATTGAGACCACCCTGGCTAACACAGTGAAACCCTGTCTCTACTGAAAATACAAAAAATTAGCTGGGTGTGGTGGCGGGCACCTGTAGTCCCAGCTACTCGGGAGGCTGAGGCCAGAGAATGGCATGAACCCGGGAGGCGGAGCTTGCAGTGAGCCGAGATTGCGCCACTGCACTCCAGCCTGGGCAACAGAGTGAGACTCTGTCTTTAAAAAAAAAAAAAAAAATAGCTAGGAATTGGGAGTGTGTGTGTGTCTGGGGGAGAGTGGTGTTTGGATTTTTTAAGAAGTTGTCAGTAAATGCCTGAGAATGGGGCTTTTGAGTGAAGGGAAAGAGATGAGGAAGTGAGCCACACATATATCTGGATGATGTGCGTTCCAGACTAGAGGTTACAGCAAGTACAAAGGCCCTGAGGTGAAAGCGTGCCTGGTTTGTTTAAGGAATACTGAGGAGGCTAGTGTGGCTGGAACAGAGGGAGCAAGAGGAAGGCTAGGAGGAGATAAAAGAGGAAAAAGAGGGGATTCATATGCAATGGCCTACAAGGCCTAAAAGACTGGCTTTTACTCTGAGTAGGTCAGGAAGCTACTGGAGGACATGGGACAGTGAAGCAACATAATCGGGCCTCTGTCTTTTTTTTTTTTTTTTTTTTTTGAGACGGAGTCTTGCTCTGTTGCCCAGGCTGGAGCACAGTGGCACGATCTTGGCTCACTGCAAGCTCCGCCTCCCGGGTTCACGCCATTCTCCTGCCTCAGCCTCCCGAGTAGCTGGGACTATAGGCGCCCGCCACCACGCCCGGCTAATTTTTTTGCATTTTTAGTAGAGACGGGGTTTCACCGTGTTAGCCAGGATAGTCTCCATCTCCTGACCTCGTGATCCGCCCGCCTCGTCCTCCCAACGTGCTGGGATTACAGGCGTGAGCCACCGCGCCCGGCCGGGCCTCTGTCTTAAAAAGATCACTCGGGTTGATCTCTCAAGAGGGGATGGCAGGAGGACAATAATGAAAGCAGGGGTAGTAGGATGCTAGTAGGATGCTACTGCAATGGTTCAGATAAGAGGAGATGCTGGCTTGGACCAGGGTAGGAGTGGTGGAGATAGTGAGAATTGATTAGGTTCTTGAAGGCTGAAGCAGACAGGAACTGTTGATGGAGTGGATGTAGGGTATAAGAAAAAGAGAAGTCAAGGTCAAATCCAGGGTTTGGCTAGAGCATAGGGACAGAGATGCTGTATATTGAGACTGGGAAAGACTAGGAGAGAAAGATCCTTCTCTCCTTGGGGGAATTTGATTTGTGACATATTAAAGTGTGAGGTGACTAGCAGATATCGAAGAGAAAAAGTTTAATAATGATGATATTGACACCTATCTACCAAAACAGGCCATTTGGTGCTCTTCACTCATATTTATTCATCTAATCTTCACAACAATCACATGAAGTAGGCATTAATCGCAAAGCTAGTAAATGCAAGTAATCTGGCCCCAAAGGCTGGGACCTTGATTCCTATGCTATATTGCTTGTAAGACGGAAATACCATTATGGAGTTCAGGGGAGATGTATGGAGATATAAATTTCAAAACCATCAGCATATATTACATAAATGATATTTAAAGCCATCACACTGTGGATGAGATCATTAACAGGTGTAGGCTGAGAAGAGTCCACAGACGAAGGGGAGAACTGGGAAAGTATGATCCCTGAACTCCAAATGAATAGTGTTTCAAAGGGGAGTGAGAGATGGGCTATGTGAATTGCTGCTGATAGTCTGAGTAAGGCGATAGGACTACTGGAATAGTAATACAAAAGAAGATAAGGGCAGCCGTGGTGGGGTGGCAGAGGTAAAAGTTGTGGAGATGATTAAATGGGTTCAACAGAAGAAGGAACTGAGGGTACCAAGAAGAAACCTTTTTTTAAAAAGAAGATGGTATATTTTTATGCTAATGGATGATCCACTAGAGAAAGAAAACTGATTATAGAGGGGAGAGGGGGTAGCATTGCCAGAATAAGTAAGAGTTGGAATAAGAAGAATCTGGTGGAGGAGTTGGCCTCTGTGAGGAACACAGATAGTTCATCCCTTGAATGGGAGGGAAACAATATATGAGCACAGATGCACTTTTAAAGAATAGGATCCAATACCCAAAAGAATATAAATCATTCTACTATAAAGACACTTGCACATGTATGTTTACTGCAGCACTATTCACAATAGCAAAGACTTGGAACCAACCCAAATGCCCATCAATGACAGACTGGATAAAGAAAATGTGGCACATATACAGTATGGAATACTATGCAGCCGTAAAAAAGAATGAGTTCATGTCCTTTGTAGGGACATGGATGAAGCTGGAAACCATCATTCTCAGCAAACTAACACAGGAACAGAAAACCAAATACCACCTGTTCTCACTCATAATTGGGAGTTGAACAATGAGAACACATGGACACAGGGAGGGGAACACCACACACTGGGGCCTGTCAGAGAGTTGGGGGCAAGGGGACAAATACCTAACACATGCGGGGTTTAAAACCTAGATGACAGGTTGATGGGTGCAGCAAACCACCATGGCACATGTATAACTATGTAACAAACCTGCATGTTCTGCACATATATCCCAGAACTTAAGGTATAATAATAATAATAATAATAATAATAATAATAATAATAAAAATAGGATCCAGAATGAAGATAAGCACTAAGTACAAGTTGTCATAGAGGAGAAAATTTAGGAAATATAAAATAGAATGTAGATTTGAATATACTAATTCAAGAGTGGAGTCATAAATGCCATGAAATCCTTTACTCTCAGGAATTAGGTTAAAACAACATAACAACATATTACTTTTCAACCATGCATTCTCTAAAACTTAACCATTTCTAATGGTGCCATTTAGCAATTGTAAAAACATAAAAACTTGAAAAACTATATTTGGCAGTATATTAACAGGATCTGTTAGAACAGATATTATAATATTTTTGGTGATTTTTATACAGTCAGAAGTGGTTGCTACAAAGAAAAATAAATCAAAGTGACATAACCCAGAGAGGAGTTCACAAACTCAAATGCCTACAAGAATTAAAGGCACATAACAAATGAGTGAAGCAGGGACAACAGGGAGTTGCAGGGATTGTGGCGAATAGGCAAAGGGCATAGCTGCTACTCAGGTCAGGAAACTGTTGCCACACAGAAAGCATATTGTTTTGCCAGGTCTGCTAATTCTTAAGATAAATGTCCTACTGAAAAGTAGGATATTTATTGAAAGTTCTCAATGTTTAAAATATTTGCAACTAATTCAAATTTATAAACTGTGTGCAGGCCATACAATCCATGTTTGTGGAAGTATTCAGGCCATTGGGCTGTCTAGCGTCCTCTGCATTAGACACTTCTCCATTCATTATAATTAAGGCATACCCGAGGAAAGCAGAGGAATGCTTTTTGAATGACAGAACATCAACATGGGGTAGATGAAAGAACTTTGCACTAAGTTTCAGAAAACCTTGCTTTCAGTGTAGGCACTGCCATTTAGTATTAGCTGGGTGAACTCTCTGAGCTTCTGTTTATTCATTTGTAAAATGCAGTTTCATGAACTACCCTGTCCAATTCACTGAACTGTTATGAATGGCAAATTAGAAAGTAGGTCAAAGCACATAATAAACTATAAAGCTCTATATAAATACAAGTAAATGGCTTTAAAAAGAGATCTAATAGGGTGGCCTAAGAATATTTCCTGTCTCTATGTTGAGTCAGTTTCTTCATAAAATGGGAATACAGATTACTTAGTTCATAGGGTTCCTCAAATACATTAAAATTATAAAAACATTTTTTCAAATGTTAAGTGCCATGTAATTATTTGGTAATAAAGTATTTGCCTAGTATAGCCAACTATGAATGAAGCTGCATGTAATAATCCCTAAAAAGCTGAGTGCATTATTGGCTTTCCTAAGGCAATGAGCTATTTATTTATTTATTTATTTATTTTTGACATAGTCTCACTCTGTCACCCAGGCTGAAGTGCAGTGTCATGATCTGGGCTCACTGCAACCTCTGCCTACCCCCGGTGTTCAAGCGATTCTCTTGCCTCAGCCTCCTGAGTAGCTGGGATTACAGGCGCCTGCCATCACGCCTGGCTAATTTTTGTATTTTTAGTAGAGACGGGGTTTCACCATCCTGGCCAGACTCGTCTTGAACTCCTGACCTCGTGATCCACCTGCCTCAGCCTCCCAAAGTGCTGGGATTACAGGCATGAGCCACCGTGCCCGGCCACGGCAATGAGCAATTTAATTAGTTTGGAAAAAGTTATTTCAGGTCTTCGTTTTTTTGCCCCTCTTTTACAATGTTTGTAAGCTTACAATGGATTACAGGCCTGTAACAGACCCAGGTTTATCTGTTCCCTACTGCTAAAGTTTCTGGAGACACTGCTCCTGTCAGCTGGTGATGCAACAATAGGGAAGTGATGGTGGTCAGGTCCAAGAGGCAACTTCCGGAAAAGAAGGTTTTCCTGGCTATGAGTCATAAATTCAGAATCGGGGCAAACAATTCTTCTATCTACTTACTTTCACGTAAAAGTGTTTAATAAAAACACTTCTTGATTACTGTTGTTCTATTTATCCTGGATCATCAAATCATACATGATTCAAAGAATAACAAAGTATCAAAATTTATGAGGAACTGTACTGGATAAAAACTCCGTAACATATACTGTTCTGTAAGATGCTTCATTTTGAGGTTTCATCAAACCACAATTGACCTAGCAAACTCAATAAATCAAGTCTCTCTCACCAGTCTATTTCTCGTAGATTAGGGTGGAGATGAATTAAGTGATGGCAACTTGAAAGATTCAAAAGATTCCAAATTAAAGAAAAAATTATCATTTAAAAGCACATTCTGGGTAAGATCATGGGTAATACTTGCCCCTCTCTGTTTTCCAAACTCTTTAAATGACTCACTGTAAAAAATTATATATTAGTATAAAATCACCATGACATAAAAAAAAATTTTCCCCAATAACATAAGAAAAGAATTCTGGGTGCTGTGGCTCATGCCTGTAATCCCAGCACCTTGGGAGGCCAAGGCAGGCTGATCACTTGAGGTCAGGAATTCGAGACCAGCCTGGCCAACATGGTGAAACCCTGTCTCTACTAAAAATACAAAAATTATCCGGGTATGGTGGCAAACGCCTGTGGTCCCAGCTACTTGGGAGGCTGAAGCAAAAAATCACCTGAACCCAGAAAGCAGAGGTTGCAGTGACCGAGACTGCACCAGCCTGGGTGATGAAGGGGGACTCTGTCTCAACAACAACAACAACAAAAAGTAGGCATACAACACATAAGCCATCGAGCACGCTGGGCACAGTTGCTCATGCTTGTAATCCCAGCACTTTGGCAGGGTGAGGTGGGCAGATCACTTGACCTCAGGTGTTTGAGACCAGCCTGGGCAACATGGTGAAACCCTGTCTCTACAAAAAACACAAAAATTAGCTGAGTGTGGTGGCACATGCCAATAGTCCCAGCTACTCGAGAGGCTGTGTTGGGAGGATCCCCTGAGCCTGGGAGTTTGAGGCTGCAGTGAGCCATCATTGTGCCACTGCACTCCAGCTTGGGTGACAGAGTGAGACCCTGTCTCAAAAAAAAAAAAAAAAAAGCCATCTAGCAGAATGCCACTTCATCCCTAGAAGACCCACTTCCTGGCCCCTCAACTGCTTCTGATATTTCTTTTTACGTTAAAAAAAAATACAGTGTAAGTTATCTTTTAATCAAAACACAGCCTCAGAGGGGAAGACAAAGCCTGTCATTGTTTGTTGTTGCTGTTGTTAAACAGCTGACATATGTATTCTGGTGATGCTACGGTGCTGCTCAGTTACTCTGAACATATTATTTTTTCACTCTACTAGTGGTATGTCTTTTTTTTTTTTTTGAGACAGAGTCTTGCTCTATAGTCCAGGCTGGAGTGCAGTGGTGTGATCTAGGCTCACTGCAACCTCCACCTCCCGGGTTCAAGCAATTCTCCTGCCTCAGCCTCCTGAGTAGCTGGGACTACAGGTGTGTGCCACCATGCCCAGCTAATTTTTTTTGTATTTTCAGTAGAGAAGGGATTTCACCCTGTTGGTCAGGCTGGTCTTGAACTCCTGACCTCAAGCAATCCACCCGCCCTTGGCCTCCCAAAGTGCTGGCTGGAGCCACCGCGCCCAGCCATTATGTCTTTTTTTTTTTGAAAGCGAAATACTTATGTGTGAATAAATGTAAGAAAATGATTGCTTATCAGTAGCATATAAATTCAAAGTAGGGAATGATGGTAATGTCAAACAACCACAGACTCCACATGGGTGGCTGAGATAGTGATACTTTTGCTTTCTGATGGTTCAATGTACATGAACTTTGTTTCATGCACAAAATTATTTAATTATACAATAATTATAAAATTATATAAAATTATTACTAAAATTATTTAAAGTATTGTATAAAATTATCTTCAGGCTATATGTATAAGGCATATATAAAACACAAATAACTTCTGCATTTAGGCTTGGGTCTTATCCCCAAAATATCTCATTATATATATGCAAATATTCCAAAATCTGAAAAAAAAAAAAAAAAATCCAAAATCCATAACCCTTCAGGTCCTAAACATTTCAAATAAGGGATGCTCAACATGCAGTAGGACTTAAATATTTCCAAATAAATAAAATGTTAGTTTGAACCACTAAAAAAGATGATTTTTTTTTTCTTTTTTTTTTTGAGATGGAATCTCTCTCTGTCACCGAGGCTGGAGTGCAATGGCATTATCTTGGCTCATTGCAACCTCTGCCTCCCAGGTTCAAGCAATTCTCCTGCCTCAGCCTCCTGAGTAGTAGCTGGGATTACAGGCACATGCCGAGGCGGGCAGATCACCTGAGGTCAGGAGTTCAAGACCAGCCTGGCCAACCAACATGGTGAAACCCCGTCTCTACTAAAAAAGACGATTATTTAAAGCTTTAACTAATAAAAAGTAATTGATTAGAAATAAAATCTAAAGTTAAATTACTACTCTATAAAAAAGAAAGTAAAAGTGAGTTTCTAAGAAGCTCTTTACTTACTAGCACCTTTTGAGATAAAATCTTCACTTATAAATAATATGAAAATAAAGTGATTATACAGCACAATGATTAAGAGTGTGGGCTCTGAAGTCAGATTATTTGGGTTCAAATCCCATTTTTTACCACTTATTATAAATATCTGTGAATTCAGTCAGGTCATTTAACCTCTGCAAACCTCTGTTTTCTCACTGTAAAACTGGAGAATTATTATTTTTGGGTTAAGGATTAAGTGAGATGATTCATAATTCTCTTTCTTATACCATACAAATTCATCATGTAGCAAAAAAAAATGCAGTGAAAAAGCTACCCAACACAGTGTGATCCAGCTCAGCTACAGTGTAGGTGCATCATGGCCCCATTATACGTAGCAATAAATACTGTGACCTCAGGATTGATTTTGAGGGAAGAGCTTTGTTCCTTAACCCACTCCAGGCTCCTGAGTAGCGTGCACCACCACATCCAGCTAAAATATATACTTTTACAATTGTCTTTCTAAAAACCAAATCAATATTTGCTATAACCTGACCTTCATCTTATCTATGACGCCTTATCTTATATAGCTTATCGTATATAGCCTTATCTGCTGCTTGAAGTAGACTTATTAAAACTAGTCACTTGAACAATAGTTAAAATTGTATGATAATTGTGGCGATGTGTAATTGCTTTCGGAAACTCTGTTTAGGAAAAAACAAATACACCACAAAAAGTTTCCTAAAGTGTCCTTAACAATTATCAATTTCCTTAACAAATATAATCCCTACTTATAATGCTGTGCTACACAGGAAATAATAAGATTCTTTCTAGATATGTATCCCATATTCTAAGGACCTATTAATCTGACTCAGACCCAAAATGTCTATTAAAAAATGTATTGTGACATGTGTGGGTAAATTATTTGACTTTTTATTTCAGATTGAGAGGAGTAACTGAATTAAATCATTAGATCAAAATACTTCAAATTTGTTTACACTAGTATTAAGGTGACAAGTTAGAACAAGAAAATGCAAAAATGAGTTCCATTTAAACATTTAATTGAGAAGGAAATGTAAATTATTTGTTCTTTAAAACAAAGTTCCAAAATGACAAAACCATGCAGTAGAAAAAAAATTGTAGGATTTTGTTAATCACATAAATTTTTAGTAATTTATACTGTTATCTAATGACAGTATTTTTCTCTCATACTGTCTCAGTCTGAATTAGTTTTAGCACTTACTCAAAACTAAACAAGGATAAACTTGGACACAAAATATATTTAGAAATATATTTACTGATATGTGTACAGCCACCCCATATATTCTTAAATTTAGGGAGATCTGAACACTGAATAATCATTATTTGAAAAGCATCTACATAAACAACATTCCACATATGACAGATATTTGGTAGGCTAATAATTAAGATACTTTTTCTTAGATTAGCAATGCAGGTTAAAAATCATAGCAGGATCCCTAAAGGTAAGTTTATCCATTTTCACTTACTATCCTGAAATTTAATTTAGATTGGAAAAAAAATTGCACTGAATGTAAACTTTGGGGTATATTTATTTTTTACTCAAATATTTCTTCCTATTTCCCTGTGAATATTGGGCATTATGTAAAATCCACTTGTTACAAATATTGCTAATATTTTAATATAAACAGGGTTTACAAGATCAAATGATATTTATTTTAATACCTACTATTGAGGAGATAATCCTCTTTTAACCTACTTGATTCATTTATTGGAATTTCTTTATTTTTTTGAGACAGAGTCTCACTCTGTCACCCAGGCTGGAGTGCAGTGGCGTGATCTCGGCTCACTGCAACCTCCACCTCTTGGGTTCAATCGATTCTCCTGCCTCAGCCTCCCGAGTAGCTGGGATTACAGGTGCACATCACCTGTATTGTATTTTTGGTAGAGACAGGGTTTTACCATGTTGGCCAGGCTGGTCTCGAACTCCTCAGGTGATCCACCAGCCTTGGCCTCCCAAAGTGCTGGGATTACAGACATGAGCCACCGTGTCCAGCCTATTTATTGGAATTTCTTAGAATCATCAGATTTAGTATCAGTAGACCCACTGATAATATCACGGATAGTAACTTCCTAATTCATTAATTTCCATATACAATCAAACCAATTCCTGCATTATAAAGAAACCAAAGCTGTACTAGTTTTAAAAAATATGTCAGTGCTACACTAGGGGTGTAACTCCTTATAAAGCAAGCATGAATGTGGCATCAAACTTACTTTTCCAAAGAAGCCTTTGAAGAACTTCCTTTCCTGGAGGAACAGGGGGACAAGTCGAGTGCTATTATTGTATGGCCTAAATGTCCCAGAGTTTCACACCAATAAGCACATACAGAAATTGGGGAAAGGAAAAAGTGGGAGAAGGGGTGGGAGTGAGTTTCAAAGAGTTATCCACACCAGGAGTGACAGGGAAAAAGGAAGGGTGCATGAAAATGCAGGGAAACACACTGTATAGCCTAAGAATCCATAGAAAGAGTAAGAAGAAATCAGAACCTGTATCCATGCAGAGCAACCAGTTAGTTTAGTAATCGCTATTTACATTTAAAACAGAGATCTTCCAAATTTGGCAGCAGAGAAAACAATAGGGCATACTGGTTTGGTGAGATTTGCATTTTAAATTTTATAATAGTGAATAGAAAATAGAAGACTGGTTCCATATACATTTTTTAAGTTTAAAATTGGCGGTCAACTATGTGAAAGTCACCAATTTTAAAAAAGTCCACATTCAAATGACCACATAATCACATTAAAAATGTAATACGTAAAATTAAATGAGTATGCATCAAAGGTCCTTGTCATACTTTTTTCTTAGTGAGTTCAAGATGTCACTTAGAAACTCCATACCACTTAAGGGGAGCTTGACCATTGGCTTTCCATTTACTTACATTAGTATCAATCTATATGTACAGGTGTGCTGATCAATTTCACAACACACATAAGGAAATAACATGTATGTTTTATTCCAGACACAGAATAAATTATCTATTAAGGTTACAAGGCTAATGTTTATACAAGAGCTGAGAAAACAAGTATCCTAAGAACCAAATGATGTCTGTGGGCCACAACTGAAATTTAAGAAACAGGGTTTTGTTTTCTTTATAAAAGCTATTGCTTATTATTATTTGGTTTTTGTTTGTTTGTTTGTTTGTTGAGTCAGAGTCTCACTCTGTCACTCAGGATGGAGTGCAGTGGCACGATCTCAGGTCACTGCAACCTCTGCCTCCTGGGTTCAAGCAATGCTCATGCCTCGGCCTCCCGAGTAGCTAGGACTACAGGTGTGCGCCACCACATCCAGCTAATTTTTGTATTTTTAGTAGAGACAGGGTTTCACCGTGTTGGCCAGGCTGGTCTCGAACTCCTGACCTCAAGTGATCCACCTGCCTAAGCCTCCTAAAGTGCTGGAATTACAGACATGGGCCACTGCGCCCAACCTAAAAGCTGTTATTTTAAAATAAAGAAACTTGCATTGACATTTATAAGGAAACAATTCTGAAACTATCTGGATAACAGAGGCATAACTATCTATGCTATCAGCACCAATTTTTAAGCACCATTTATGAAAACTGGCCACCAATTAAAATCTGTAGAATTTACACAAATTAGATGGGTTTGAACTCACACAAGCTAGATTTAACTTTACATTTCCTAGCTGTGGTTGAAATATACTTTAAGCCTTTACTTTTTATAATCATAGGTTTTTAATGTTGGATAAATGTCTAGGAAAAGATAATTGCATTGAAATCTGACTCTTTTACACAATTCATAAACTATTCAGTGCTCTCCAACACTGGAAAGTTTGTTTTCCCCTCTAAGCTTTGAAAATCACAAACAGCAAAAAATATTTCCACAAAACATTTTGAACTGCAACTGGAAAAATAATAAAGTAATTGGGTAGTTATCACAGTAAGACTAGATTATTTCTGCTGCCAAGTTTGGTGACCCTAGTTTTGTTAGACTATGAATAACCATAAGCTTTCAAGGATGCGGCCAAAGTTAAGATATTCACCATTCTTGAGGGATGGGAAGGTGAAGGAAGGAGATTGTTAATATTTAATTTAGCTCCTAGAAAAGCTACTGTTAAACATTGAGCTTTCCCTCTTTTTATAAAATACCCAAGATGTTAATGAAAAAAGTTGGCATGCAAAATGCATAAAAAGACAGTTATTAAAGAATAATAATGTTCTTTTAAAAACATTTGTTATGATTCTTTTACCTGCTAAAACAAGAACATATATTAAAACAAATATATCAAATAGTGAATAAAAAACCAACATATTAGAAACTGGTAGTATAATGAAACTAGTCTAAAACTAAGACAGAGGGAGAGACATTTAAGAAACAATGGGAAGAAATGACCTTAAACGAAGGGCATCTTGGACTAGAGTTAAGCAAGATAACCAAAGGCCTTATACACTTTTTTATGGAATTGGCTGATATATGACAATATTCCTCACCCTGTAGCTGATATGCCATAAAGGCAGTAACAATGGGCAATAGTGATTTCTGTCATTTATCCTATAGAAGCTAAGTCCCAAAGTAGCTAATCAGTGAGGTTATATGACAAAGTAAATGAGTTGAAAATAGCTGTCAATAACTTTATGCCCAGAAAGTTAAAAAATTAACATATTTATGCTCTGAGGAGCATATTTTTAAAACACTATCTTGTTTAGTTATAATATTTTTTTCATTTGAGCATATCAAGTATGCAGATGACTTCCAATTGAAGTTAATGTAATTCTAAATTGTAAGAGAGTATTTTGGTGAAAAACACTTGCAAATTATCTCTTTCCTCAATTGTTCACAAATTTAAAAAGCGCTAGAAGGCTGGGCGCAGTGGCTCATGCCTGTAATCCCAGCACTTTGGGAGGCCCAGGCTGGTGGATCACCTAAGGTCAGGAGTTGGAGATCAGCCTGGCCAACATGGTGAAACCCCGTCTCATACAATTAGCTGAGTGTGGTGGTGGGCGCCTGTAATCCCAGCTACTCTGGAGGCTGAGGCAGGAGAATCGCGTGAACCCGGGAGGCGGAGGTTGCAGCGACCCAAGATCGTGCCACTGCACTCCAGCCTGGGTGACAGAGCGAAACTCCACTCCAAAAAAAATGAATAAATAAAAAGCACCAGAAATATTACATTTTTAGTTCAAAGATTATTCACTAGATGTGTTGGTGGTACAGTGATGAGCATAGCTGCCTTCCAAAGATCATTCACATGGTAGGTTTAAAATGCTTGTTTTGTTACTTAACTGGTACATCTGAGCTATTCTTTAAAATTTTAAACTCTGGCATTCAAACTAATTTCAAAGATATCCTATTTCTTCTTTAATCCTCTGCAGGCTTATGCATCCTTATATTTGCTCCCACTTATTTGAAACTCTAAAAGGAAGCTTTATAATCTATAAAAAAAACAAACAAAAAGTCTCCAGAAACATAGCATTTGGCACAATATAAGTATCTGGCAAAGTAGGTTGTAGATCCCCAGTGGATGATTTTTAGATGAATGTTTGCTCAGAGAAATCAAAAGGCAACGAGAAATTTCTGCATAGTAAAAATATGAAAAGAAGACAAAAATCAGGAATACATGTGGCACACTATGATATGAGAAGAACAGTATCCTAAAGACTTCCGATTTTCTGCAAGATTCTCAGTATAGCTCTAGAAAGAGTATTTAAAAGAAAGGGGAGGCCAGGTGCAGCAGCTCATGCCTGTAATCCCAGCACTTTGGGAGACTGAGGTGGGTGGATCACGAGGTCATGAATTCAAGACCACCCTGGCCAACACGGTGAAACTCTGTCTCTACTAAAAATACAAAAAAACTAGCCAGGTGTGGTGGCGGGCACCTGTAATCCCAGCTACTCGGGAGGCTGAGGCAGGAGAATTGCTTGAACCTGGGAGGCAGAGGTTGCAGTGAGCCAAGATCACACCACTGCACTCCAACCTGGGTGACAGAGCAAGACTCCGACTCGGCGGGGGGGCAAAAAAAGAATGGGGATGTTTCACTGAGCATAAGAAACAGGAAATTTACTCCAGTGACCCAAAACTTCAATTTCATGTTTTAATAATACATGCCAGTGCAAAACTACATATAACATTTGCTCCAAATCTAGTTTTTGTCTGAAAAATTTTAAATAACTTCTTGATAAGAAGTCTAGAAATGGTCAATTTCCCCTCAAAGTTTAAAAGTTTAAGTATGTTTAGAAAACAATCACCAACATATCTAAAACTTTCTTTTTTATTATTTATTTTTATAGAGACAGGGTCTCACTATGTTACCCAGGCTGGTCTTGAACTCCTGGCTTTAAGCAATCCTCCCATCTCAGACTTCTAAGTAGCTGAGATTATAGGCGCAAGCTACTGTGTTCGGCTTAAAACTTTCTTTTAGTCATTAAAAACCACAGGAAAATAAAGATCTTTAGAAATAAACAAAACAGTTTTGGTAAACTTAAAACATTAGACATAATATTTGATTATGGTTATTGTAAGACTCAATTTGACCACATATTGTAGATCAGATTGTATTCTGTATATTCATTCTAGAAGTATTTTTTGAGTTACTACTATGTGCCAGCCACTGTTCCATGCATAGGTATAATTTTTAAAATGGCTATTTAGTTCCTAATTCTGATGAATATAAAAACATTAAATTTTATTATCTAAATAGTCCTATGCCTCAAGCAATCACGCCTATTATCTTCTTGGTTTAAAAAAAAAAAAGGTAAAATAAAACAAAAAAATCTACTGAAACATTAGTTTTAAAACTAGATAGTTAAATAGTGGCTATCTCTGGGGTTGTAGGAAATTTCATTTTATTTGTGTACTTTTTTGGTTCATTTGTATTTTATACAATAAACATATTGCTTATATAATAACGAGATATTTCTAATTAAAAGTATTTCAAAAAAAAACAAAGCTAGACAGGTAAGAGGATTAACTGCTCATTAAACAACAAAATACCGTTTCTCAATATGTTCTGGGCAAACTTAAACCACCTCTAGCTTTTCCTTACTTACAGAGTGCACATGAAGTCATACTCTGAATCAAAAGACTTTCTAAAGGCTCATTCCACAGTGGCCATTTCACCATAAGTTGTGTAAATTATAAGATTTTAATAATTATTTATAGTTTGTTTCAGGGCTATCTAGTCTGTTCACTGTTTTCAGTCATTAGTATAAAATATTATTTAATGGGCAAATAACTGCATTACTTTAAAAAAATGTTCTTAGCTAAAATCATCTTGTTTGTGTATTTATTTAGTTGAGACAAGGGCTCGCTGTGTTGCCCAGGTTGGTCTCAAACTCCTAGACTCAAGCAATCCTCCTACCTCAGCCTCCCGAGTAACTGATATTTTGTTTATTATTATTCTAGATAAACCCGGAATTATTTTGTTAAAGAAAATTAAATTTTTACTTCTCTTTTAAATTTGGTTTTGACAAAATGGAAAATTAAATTATCTGAGACTATGTTCAACTGGGGAATATATTTAGGTTGGCATGGAAGGTCTACAAACTATAATTTCATGTACCATAACACAAGGTCCCCTTAACGTAATGACAGATTGGGAGAGCACAGATAAGACTAGCAAAGGCTTGAATCATTTAAGAATTTTAATGATCAAAATCTGAGATAAAGAGTATGTATAGGTATCTATGTATGTATATATGTGTAGGTATGTCTGTATCTTTTTTTAAAATTTTTTAGTTCTTTGTATATTATAGCCAATTACTTTTCTCTTTTCCCTTCTATGACAGATTCAGGTATTTATCCCAAAATTAAATCTACCTCTCTGACTTGGTTGCTTTTTCTCTAAATTTTATATATTTTATATTCAGGAATTATAGATAAGAAGTAATATAGACTATGCCGAGAAGCACAAAAGTTCTGATTACTAAGCAAATTGAGGGAAAAAAGCACACATTAGTAGTCAAACTTGTGGCAGCCCACCATACCAGCAAACCCAAAGCAACATGTATTTAATGCTGTTGGGACCAGAGCATGCAGAAGTAATGCTTAAAGCTTTCACAGCAAAGTGGGGAAAGGCCACATATTAGAGAGAAGGAGGGTTGTGAAAAGGGCTATCAGATCTATGGAACATTCCTCAAACCTATGGAAAATCTGAAATTAACACTTTGAATCTTTATGAATTCCGAACTCGTTCTTTCCTTTCACTGAATACACAGGCATGTGCCTGGGATGTGTTCTATCGCATAACAGGCAGAGGAAACGTTATCCTGGGAAAGGGCTCTCTACTTCAAGTGTGCTAAAGTTTATGTAAAAGGCAGTAGAAATAGACTGTTTATGTTAGAGGTGTATAGAGAAGAAAATTGGGGAGTAGGAGTCAAGGTAATAGTAAGAAGTCTCCAAAAAGGAAACCTCACCAGGCATCAACACAGACCTCTATCCTCTAGTTTTCCCCAGGAAGCTATTTTTTACAGTATATTTAAAACCCCTAATTTATAGCCCAGTTATCACAGTTAGGGTAAGATGTTAACTGTAACAGTTTAATCCTAGTCTTAGAATACTATTCTTCTATCAGATTTCACAACATTTGTTTCATATGGGTTATAAATCAAAAGTACCTTTAGGATAATATCTGGCCTAAATTTAAACGGCTCATCTAATAATTTATACCTCTGGATGGGCAACATGAGATGCTTTTAAATTTTTTAATTATTATTTTATTATTTAAGAAAAAATTTTTGAAATTAATAGAGACAGGGTCTTGAAATGTTGCCCAGGCTGGTCTCAAACTCCTGGCCTCATGTAATCCTCCTGCCTCAGCCTCCCAAAGTGCTAGGATTACAGGAGTGAGCCACCGCGCTTGGCTGAGATGCTCCTTATTAGCAAGCCCACATCTTTTTAACAGAAACACAGTTTTTACTGGGTCACTAAAATGTACTGAGCAAAATCTTTTAAGAAAATATTGATAGCATATAGATCAACACTGGCAACCATCAAATACATACAGCTTTCAATCTTTTTACAGCATCTTCACAGATGTGCATTCCTCTTGATTCATCAACTTCTACATGGCCAAGGTACTGTAGAAAGAAGGAAAAGTTAGGGCTATTGCTATGTTTACCAAGTAGCTACTATACAGTAAGCATTAGGTGAAAATTGAATACAGGTTGAACATTCCAAATCTGAAAAAATTTGAAATCTGAAACACTTCTGGGTGTCAAGCATGTTGGATAAGAGACACACAACCTGTATTGAAATTCCTACACTCAAGAAATACACAGCCAGTGAAAAAGAGTTCAGATAATGTAACTTTACATATTCTCAGTGTCCTCATAGGAATAAGATTTAGAATAATTATTTCAAAAAGGTGTTACAGGTGAGTAAGTGAAGAAGTACACAGTAGGCACTAAACATTACCTGAATCTACTGGATCTGAAGCATAATAGCCTGCGCTAGACACAGTTACTATGTCTCTACACATAAAAGTAATCCTAAGACAAAGTATATATACATATCTTTTAAAAAGCACAAACAAAAATGACAGTTTTTCAAAGACTGAAGAAATCACACATTCCTTTTATGGGGAGCATATAAGAGCATGGCAGATCACCAAAACAAATTTTATGAAGGTATTACATCTGAGCTTGAAAAGATACATAAAATTTGAAGAGGCAAAAATTGAAAGGTTGAAAGACTATTTCAGGCTGAGAGAAATACATAAAGTTATAGGTGTGGAATAGGATAACTATGTATCAGTGCTGGGACTCAGAACACGTTACCCCAAAGTATGGTGCTGAATGCTTTGAACTAAAAAAGAACCAAGGTCTGACCTTCTCTTGACCTCCTGACTCTAACTCCTCCTTCTCCCCTGAAGAGCAGGAGGGGCTTTCTCTGAAGCTCTCTTATCTGCCCAAAGATAGATCCTTCAAAAAGGAGCTCAATTGTTATTTATGCCCTCCCTGGGAATCTTATCAACTGGGGTAGATTAACTGTATCACAGAAGAAGAGACTAACGGTCAACACCCCAGACTCTGTCACAGGCTATCACCTATTCTTCTGAGGGCTGCTCCAGACAACTTGTATTATAGGAGAGACTTTTTATCTGCATAACAAGGCAAGCTTTGCTCACCGTGCATTTCCTCCCCTCATAGTCCCATAGGTTGTCACCACCTCCCCTCAAGTCCCTATTCCTTTCTGTAGCTCAGGATGCCATAAAAATGTCAATCATCTGGCCTTCAAGTTTGATATTTTGTGAGACTCTTATGTACAAACACATAATAAATTTTGCCTTTTTTTTTCCCTGCTAATCTATCTACTGTCAGTTTATCTCACATACTCAAATACTGAATGTTCAAAGGGTAGAGGGAAAGTTCTCTTCTCCCCAGCATCAACAAATAGTCTTGTTTGGCTTGAATATGAAATACATGCACCTGGGGAATTGAGGTGCTAAAATGGCACTTAACCCTAGAGACAATGGAGAACTAACAAAGTTTTTTTTTTTTTCAAGGTAGTAATATGATTCAAGGTCTGGTTGCAGGTAATACGGAGTAGACACACTACACCCTGTCCTTCCCACTGACTGAAACCTTAAAACCTGAACAGAATTCACAGAATAGGTACTTAAGCTTTCTGAAAAGTAAACAGAAGATGAATCAGAGTAGAATACCAGAATTCAAAGTACTATGGAAATGGCAAGGAATTTACCTCCCCTTTCTCTCTTTGGTACCTCCAGACTGAGAAAATAACTTTCATCTGAGGAATGCAAGTCCTTTTAATTATCAGGCCAATAGAGACATTAAGATGAGACTGCAATCACGCTCTACTACCCACTTTGACCCATGTATCCCTCTCCTGAAAATGCTTGCTACTGCCACAAGTAGCTAGAAATAAACCTAATAATGTCACACCAGACACTATAACCCACACCCTACCTATTGCTTAACAATGTATAGCCAATCACTAGTCAATGTTATTTCTGTAAACCAATGAGAATTCCTGACACACAACTTTTTATCAGCCCACTCCCTGTCCCCTTCTTTTGCTTTTAAAACTCCACTTGCTTGCTGGGTATGGTGGCTCAAGCCTGTAATCCCAGCACTTTGGGAAGCCAAGGTAAGAAGATCATCTGAGGCCTGGAGTTCAAGACCAGCCTGGACAACATAGTGAGACCCTGTCTCTACAAAAATAAAAAAATTAGCACACACCTGTAGTACTAACTATTCAGGAGGCTGAGGCAGAAGGATTGCTTAAGCCCAGGAGTCCAAGGCCGCAGTGAGCTATGATCACACCACAGCACACCAGCCTGGGTGATAGAGAGAGACCCTGTCTCTAAAAACCAAAATGAAATGAAGAAAACTTTTTAAAATAAAAAACAAAAATCCACCTGTAACTGCTAACTGAAGTATACATCCAGGGCAACTTCAATCTATGCTTCTGGGTTGCAATACTCAACCTTGGCCCAAATAAACCTTCTACTTACATTAATTTTGCCTCAGCTTCTTCCTTTTAGGTTGACAAGCCTGAACTTCTAGCCAGAAATCCAAAAGCGAGTGCTGTGATACAGAAAGATGTCTGGGAAAATCTCTCTAGCTCTGGTTTGAGGACCAGGAAATGGAACTCCTAAAGCTCAGAGAGAGTACAGGAGTCCCCCTCTCTTTTATTGGTTCTCTTACATCTCAGCCACCAGGAAATCCTGTGATGGTGTGATAGCAGCAGAGGTAGCAACAAAAGAAACCCCTGCAAGAGCCACACCTCTAAGGCAGGGGGAACTGCCTCTCTGTTTGGTAGAATGGTGATTCCAGGAAGATGGGGCCAATCCCCCTTTTGCTTTTTTCCTTTCTCTCTGATCTCCTGCCATTTGATCCTAGATACAAGTGAAATTGTGGGACTTCATGGTAGTGCAGGCCAACCAGAGCCCTAGGTTTCTGGCTAGAGGTCAAGAAAGGGGAGCTCCAGGGAACCAGAAAGTACCAAAGAAGGCACAGGAAGGGAGGAGCTTGAGAAAGACCATGAATTTGTTTGTGAATTCCTAGGCTCACCCTGCAGCTGCACAGGTAAGAATCTGATTCTAATTAGCATACTCAGGACTTTGACAGCTGAACTAATATACAGACCACCTCCTGGTTCCCAAACTGACCCCTAGGTGACATACACACAGAATAGATCAGAATAGCACCGCAGATCAGAATAGCATTGCAGAGGCTTTGAAAACTAAACTGATGGCCGGTCGCGGTGGGTCACGCCTGTAATCCCAGCACTTTGGGAGGCCGAGGTGGGTGGATCACTTGAGGTCAGGAGTTTGAGACCAGCTTGGCCAACATGGCGAAACCCCGTCTCTACTAAAAATACAAAAATTAGCCAGGCATGGTGGCAGGCGCCTGTAATTCCAGCTCCTCGGGAGGCTGAGGCAGGAGAATTGCTTGAACCTGGCAGGCAGAGATTGCAGTAAGCCGAGATCACCCCATTGTACTCCAGCTTGGGCAACAAGAGAGAAACTTTGTCTCAAAAAAAAGAAAAAAAAAAGAAAAAGAAAACTGAACTGATATTGGAACCACATCCCACAGAAAGTGAGTAAGAACTTGTAGCCTGAGACCTAACTGGACTGACTGGCATAGGAAATGTTCATTAAAAAGGAATTAACATTTACTGATTACCTACTGTGTGCCAGAAACTGTGCTGGATGCTTTATATATTTTGTCTAACCTAATAACTACTCAGAAAGGTATGTTTGATCACTTGATTTTAAAACTGAGGAAAGGAAATGAGGTTCAGGAGTGCTGAAAAACTTTCCCAAAGTCATACACACAGCTAGTCAGGGAAGAATATGGTTTACATTCATGACTTCAAAGTCCAAAGTTCTCACACTTGACTTTACCACAATTCAAGAAAACTTTTCCTGATTTTTCATTCCTATTATAAGGAAATTTAAAAAAAAAACAGGTTCTTTCCACATTTTTTCCTACAATTTTTAAAAATAAGAGTCCTTTCCCTGGCAAATTCTTCCTCTGGCAGGGCTGAAACTGTCAATTACAAGTGAGCCTCTCTGAAGACTCAGTGAAAACATCTAAAATAAGTTCATCATTATTCATACTTTCTCATTTCCTCTCAAGTTACAGAATTTCCACTTGGAAGAGAATTATTATTATTTTTTTGAGACACAGCCTCACTCTGTCGCCAGACTGGAGTACAGTGGTGCAATCTCAGCTCACTGCAATCTCTGCCTCCCGGGTTCAAGCGATTCTCCTGCCTCAGCCTCCTGAGTAGCTGGGACTACAGGCGTGTGCCACCACACCCAGCTAATTTTTGTATTTTTAGTAGAGATGGGATTTCACCATACTGGCCAGGCTGGTCTCGATCTCTTGACCTCGTGATCTGCCTGCCTCGGCCTCCCAAAGTGCTGGGATTACAGGTGTGAGCCACTGCACCTGGACTTGAGAATTATTAATATGAGGCGGACTAGGAGGCTTAATGACATTTTGGAATATGGTGCTGTAAAAGTACATCATTATTGAGCAAAACTAAAAAAATAGTTAAAAATCTAGTATCTGCAATTTCTGAGTAAGACTGGTTCTTAGAGATGACTCTAGCTCATATACATGGTCCTGTAGGACATAGATTTACTCATTTTTAAAAAACATACAGTAAAATTCACTCTTTTTGGTTTAGAGGTCTATGAGATTTGACAAATGTATACAGCTGTGTAACTACCACCACAATCAAGTCTGATCACTCTCAAAAATTCCCTCATGATGCCCATTTGTAATCAACTCCTCCGCCTGCCCTCCCCCACCACACCCAGTCCCCAGCCTCTGCAACTACTGATCTGTTTTCTATTCCTATAATTTTGCCTTTTAAAGAATTATCATATTGGCTGGGCGTGGTGGCTCACGCCTGTAATCCCAGCACTTTGGGAGGTGGAGGCAAGTGGATCACTTGAGGTCAGGAGTTTGAGACCAGCCTGGCCAATATGGTGAAACCCCATCTCTACTAAAAATACAAAAAGTGGCTGGGTGTGGTGGCAGGCTCCTGTAGTCCCAGCTACTCAGGAGGCTGAGGCACGAGAATTGCCTGAACCCAAGAGGCAGAGGTTGCGGTGAGCCAAGGTGGCATCAGTGCACTCCAGCCTGGGAGACAGAGCAAGACTCCATCTCAAAAAAAAAAAAAAGTCATATAAATGGAATCATACAGTATGTTCTCTTTTACCACAGAGTAGTATTTCATCATATGCATATATCACTATGTTTATCCAATCACCAGTTGAAGTATATCTTGGTTATTTCCGGTTTTGGTGATAATAAATAAAGCCATACTATTCCTTTATAGGTTTTCATATAAGAAATTTGGTCATATGGTAATTGAATGTCTGACTTTATAAGATACTCTTTCCCAAAATGTCATCACAATTTTACCTTCCCACCTGCAATGTATGAGTTCCAGTTGCTCAGCAATTGGTATCGTCTCTTTTTTAAGCCATTCTAATAGGTACATAGTGGTATCTCTTGCCATTTTAATTTGCATAATATCCCTAATGACTGATAGTTCTTGGCATCTACTTATCCACATCTTTTTTTTCTTTTTATTTGTATCCACATCTTATTTGATGAAGTATCTGTTTAAATTTGTCTATTCTTAAAAAATTATGTTTCTTTCCTGTTGGGTTTAGAGAGTTAATAATACACTCTGGGTTCAAGCCTTTTGTAGACATGTTTTGCAAATGTTTTTTCCTAGTCTCTGCCTTTACTTTTCATTCATTTTTGTTCTGAGACGGAGTCTCGTTCTGTCGCCCAGGCTGGGGTGTGCAATGGCGTGATCTCAGCTCACTACAACCTCCGCCTCCCAGGTTCAAGCAATTCTTCTGCCTCATCCTCCTGAGTAGCTGGGATTACAGGCATGTGCCACCACACCCGGCTAATTTTGTATTTTTAATAGAGATGGGGTTTCTCCATGTTGGTCAGGCTGATCTGGAACTCCCGACCTCAGGTGATCCACCCGCCTCGGCCTCCCAAAGTGCTGGGATTACAGGCATGAGCCCCATGTCTGGCCAATTTTTCATTCTCTTAACAGTGTCTTTAGCAAAGCAGAAGTTTTCATCTCGATGAGGTTAATTTTTTTTAATATACTGTTTTTGGTATTATAGCTAAGCAATCTTTGCCTAGCTCAAGTTCTCAGAGGTTTTTTGATTTAGATTGTAAGTGCCACAATGGTAGGAAACTTGTACGTGTTGTATTCATTCAGGTATGGTAACCACTAGTGTGTGTCATATATAGTAGTGCTAAATACATATTTATTGCATGAATGAATTCATCTGAAATTTCAGCTTGAGCTTCTCCCTTCTCAGTCCTCTTCTCTCTCTCTTTTTCTCTCTCACAGCTGGGACACCCATCTTCTCTTGCCCTTAAACATTAATTTGCAGTTGGTTGACTCTATGGATGCGGAGGGCTGAGTGTATACGCAAAGTGTTTAGTATGTACCTAACAGTAAACACTCAGTATATTTTAGACTTTGAGCAAAAGTAGGATTTTAGGAGTTTCTGACTACTCTCTTTGAACTTCCCATAGCTTTCACCCTTAATACACAAATTAAACACTGATCCTTATTCCTCTCTTGAACTCCAGTACCAAGTTTTGACTCTCAGCTCACTGCACTTGTTACTTGACCTTGGGAAGGATACTTATCTTGTGACTCAGTAGTGTTGTTTCAAGAATTAAAAAGAGTTTATATATTTGAAGCACCCAGCGCAGTGTCTGGTAATCAGTAAGTGCTCAATAAAATTTTAACTGTTATCTGATTTCTTTGGTGGCCTTCAGAGCTTAGCTTGTTGAAAACTGCACCTCCTGTACCTCTGATGTTTGTATTTACCTGCTTATTTCTTTTACTAATACCTCAGGTCTCAACAGCAGGGGCAAACACTTCAAAGTATTTTCTTTTCTTTTGAGACAGGATCTTGCTTTGTCACCCAGGCTGGAGTGCAGTGGTCCAAACATAGTTAACTGCAGCCTTAGGCTCAAGCAATCCTCCCACCTCAGCCCCCAAAGAGCTGGGACTACAGGCACACACCACAACACCCAGTTAATTTTTGTATTTTTTTTGTAGAGATGGGGTTTTGCTGTGTTGCCCGGGCTGGTCTCAAACTCCTGAGCTCAAGCATTCTGCCTGCCTTGGCCTCCCAAAGTGCTGAGATTACAGGCTTCAGCCACCATGCCTGGCCTTAAAGTATTTTCCAGTTCTTCCTCTTCACTTGACTTTCAATCAGTTCCATATATATATTTTTTTCATAGTCACATTTCCCTGATCAGAAATTTTGTTGCTCTCAATTATTTGCCAATTAAGTAGAAGCAAAAAATGGTTAGGGATCAAATCCTTGATTTGCAGCTTTCTGGCTTCATGGTCTTGGGCAAATTACACGACTTGTCTGTGTATTACTTGTCTGTGTCTCAATTTCCTCATCTTCTAAAATGAGAATACAGCAGTAACCACTGGCAGTTTGAGGATTAAATGACTTAATACCTACAAAGTACTTAGAACCATGCCCCACACATAGCAAATACTATATATGTCTTCGCTTTTTAAGTACAGATTTAGTATAGTATCCCACGTGTTCAGTCTTGTCTACTGTTAGGGTTTTCCAGAGAGACAGAACCAATAGGATGGATGGATGGATGGTCAGATGGATAGATGAATGAATGAATATTTACTACAGGAATTGGCCATGCAATTATGGAGGATAAGAAGTCCTATGACAGGCTGTCTGCAAGCTGGAAACCCAGGGATACCAATAGTGTGGTTCAGTTCAAGTCCAAAAGCCTTAGAACCAAGGAAGCTGACAATACAACTCTCGGAGGCTGAAGGCCTGAGAACCTGGGGGTGCTGCTGGTACAAGTCCCAGAGTCCAAAGGCTGGAGAGCCTGAAGTCCTAATGATTTTCCACGCATATATTTCATAGTCTCTTCTATGGTCTATTATCTCAAGGTCTTAAAGTGCTAATTCTCTTGTTGTCTCTTATTGTATAATCCTTTATTATATCTGCTAATCATTCCTACATAAGATTTATAACATTTAAAAAGTTATAAGGTCATCTTTACTGATGCTAAACTTTTTGGGAGGAATTTCATGCATTCTGGATTATGAAATTTGCTTCTAGACTGGGTGCCATGGCTCAGGCCTGTAGTCCCAGCACTCTGGGAGGCCGAGGTGGGAGGATCACGATGTCAGGAGATCAAGACCATCCTGGCTAACACGGTGAAACCCCATCTCTCCTAAAAATACAAAAAATTAGCCGGGCGTGGTGGTGGTGGGCACCTGTAGTCCCAGCTACTCGGGAGGCTGAGGCAGGAGAATGGCATGAACCAGGGAGGCGGAGCTTGCAGTGAGCTGAGATCGTGCCACTGCACTCCAGCCTGGGCAACAGAGCAAGACTCCGTCTCAAAAAAAAAAATTTTTTTTCTTCTAAAAGATACCTGATATGGTTTAGCTCTGTGTTCCCACCCAAATCTCACCTTGAATTGCAATAATCCCCATGCATCAAGGGCACGACAAGGTGGAAGTAATTGGATCATGGGGGCTGTTTCCCTCATGCTGTTCTTGGGATAATCAGCTAGTCTCATGAGATCTTATGGTTTTATAAGCGTCTAGCATTTCCCTTGCTGGCTCTCATTCTCTCTCCTGCCACCTTGTGAAGAGGTGCCTTCTGCCACGATTGCAAGTTTCCTGAGGCCTCCCCAGCCATGAGGAACTCTGAGTCAATTAAACCTCTTTTCTTTATAAATTACCCAGTCTTGGGTATTTCTTCATAGCAGCATGAGAACAAACTAATACAGTACCCCAGCCGTATTACTATCCTAAGACCTATTTTACATTAATATGGGGATTCTTATACCATGCAGGGTTATGACTTATGAAGTCCAAACCTAGGATTTCAATTTTTTCTAGGAGGCTCCTTTTTTTCCATTTGAGTCCAGGCAAGCTTCTCTTTCTGCTTTTTCTTCTAGTTCTCTATTTCATGGATTGTAAAGCCCACAGGAGGTTCCAGTTCTATGCTGGGTTCTCAGTTCTAATTATCTGCTTTGTGTAAGTCCAGTGCCTTCAAAATGGATGGTGACACCAAAGACTTTAGCTAATAAATTCTTTTTTCTTTTTTTTTTCTTTTTTTTGAGACAGTCTCACTCTGTTGCCCTGGCTGGAGTTCAGTGGCATGATCTCAGCTCACTGCAACCTCCACCTCCTGAGTTCAAGCAATTCCTGTGCCTCAGCCTCCCGAGAAGCTGGGATTACAGGCGTACGCCACCACACCCAGCTAATTTTTGTATTTTTAGTAGAGATAGAGTTTCACCATGTTGGCCAGGCTGGTCTCGAACTCCTGACCTCAGATGATCAGATGATCCATCCACCTGGGTCTCCCAAAGTGCTGGGATTACAGGGTGAGCCACCACGCCCAGCCTCATAAATTCTTTCTCTCCTAGGCTGCTCCATCAGCTGTCATCATTCCTGCCTTGCTTTCAATTCCCTTTTAATTTCTATTAACAGGAGAGATGTGTCTTCACTGAAAACTCAGCTATCCAGAGAAAAATATTGTTTATTTGTTTAAAAATGTATTCAACCCCCCGATTCTAAAATAAAACAACATTAAGCAGTTGTCTCCACTGCCCCTCCCCACAGCCCCCGGCAACTACCAATCTGCATTCTGTCTTTATGGATTTACCTATCCTGGATATTTCACATACAGGGAAGCATACAATATATGGCCTTTCATGTCTGGCTTATTTTACCTAGCATACTGTTTTCCAGGTTCATCCACACCATAGCATACATGTATTTCAATGCTTTTCATACCTGAGTGACATTCCATTGTATGTATGTACCACAATTTTGTTTATTCATACTACCATCAATGGACATTTGGACTGTGGTGAATAGTAGTGCTATAAACATGTATTTTTCTTGAAGTACCTGTTTTCAATTCTTTGGGGGTATATAACTAGCAGTGAATTGCTGGGTCATATGGTAATTCTATACTTAGCTTTTTGAAGTACCACCAATCTGCTTTTCACAGAAGCTGAACCACTTTACATTCCCACCAGCAATGTATGAGAGCTCCAATTTCTCTACATCCTTGCCAACACTTGTTGTTTTCTGTTTTGTTTCAAATTATAGCCAACCAAGCGAGTGTGAAGTGGTATCTTTGTGGCTTTGATTTGCATTTCGCTGATAATGATGTTGAGTATCCTTTCAAGTGTTTGTTGGCTAGCTGTATATCTTCTTTAGGTAAATTTCTTTTTTTTTATTTTTTAAATTTGAGACAAGGTCTCACTTTGTTGCCCAGGCTGATCTCGAACTCCTGGGCTCAAGCGATCCTGCTGACTCAGCCTCCAAAAGTGCTGGGATTACAGGCATGAGCCACTGTGCCTGGCCTTCTTTGGAGAAATTTCTATTCAAGTCCTTTGCCCATTTAAAAATTAGGTTGTATTTTTTGTTGAGATATAAAGGTTCTTTATATATTCTGGACACTAGATCCTTATCAGACATATAATTTCCAAACATTTTCTCCCATTCTATAGCTTCTTTTCACTTTCTTGATAATATTCTTTGATGCACAGTAGTTCCTAATTTTGATGAAATCCAATGTATCTATTTTTTCTTTTGTTGCTCATGCTTTTAATGTCTTATTTAAGAATCCACTGCCAGATCCAAAGTTGTTAAGACTAGCCTATGCTTCCTTTGAAGAATTGTATGGTTTTAGATTGTTGATCCTTTTTTTTTTTTGAGATGGAGTCTTGCTCTGTTGCCCAGGCTGGAGTGCAGTGGCGCGATCTCAGCTCACTGCAACCTCCACCTCCCGGGATCAGGCAATTCTCCTGCCTCAGCCTCCCAAGTAGCTGGGACCACAGGCATCTGCCACCATACCAGGCTAATTTTTGGGGGTTTTTTGTGTGTGTGTGTTTTTTTTTCGAGATGGAGTTTCGTTCTTGTTTCCCAGGCTGGAGTATAATGGCACAATCTCGGCTCACTGCAACCTCCACCTCCCAGGTTCAGGCGATTCTCCTGCCTCAGCCTCCCAAAGTGCTAGGATTACAGGTGTGAGCCACCGCTTTAGTATTTACTTTTAGATCCCATTTGTTGCTATTTTTGTGCCTATTTGTTCTTTTCTTTTACCCAGACTGCTCATCTGCGATACTTTTTCATGTATATTCATCAGCAGAACTGCTCTATTGTTTTCTTTTTTTGCACTATCTTTATTAAGTTGTTGTAGCAGGATTTTGTTAATGCTATAAAAGTATCTGAAAACTGTCCATTATTTTCCTATATACTCTGGTATAGTTAAATAGCACAGGAATTACTCTTTGAGTGTTTGACAGAACTGACCTATGAAACCATCTATATTAGTTCCTTTTAGATAAAGAGACAGTTTTTGGTTTTGTTTTTAACAGCTCTATTTTTTTAAGGTTTGGGGCCTATTCGACTTTTCTTTTCCTGCCTTAGTTAACTAGTAATGTATAGTTTCCTAGAATATTTACAGCTAATCTAAAATTTTAAATGTATTAGCATAGGCTGGGTGCGGTGGCTCACAACTGTAATCCCAGCACTTTGGGAGGCCAAGGTGGATCACCTGAAGTCAGGAGTTCGAGACCAACCTGGCCAACATGGTGAAAAACTCCGTCTCTACTAAAAACACAAAAAAATTAGCCAGGAGTGGTGGTGGGCGCCTGTAATCTCAGCTACTCGGGAAGCTAAGGCAGGAGAATAGCTTGAACCTGGGAGGCGGAGGTTGCAGTAAGCTGAAATTGCGCCACTGCACTCCAGCCTGGGCGACAAGAGCAAAACTCTGTCTCAAAAAAAAAAAAAAAAAGGTATTAGCATATACTCCAAGTATTCACATATCTTAATTTCTTTGGGTTCTGTGGTTGGGTCTCCCCACTTTCTTATCTGTAGTATTATATACCTGTGCTTTCTTTCATTTTCCATATTAAGGCTCATTTCTACTACTACCTTCAACTCAATCCCTCAATGTTTTCATTTTATATTAATAATAAAATGAGAAAGTAGAGCTTTATGATCTCTGAGTTACCTGTAGGATCTGAGGAATGGATACAGGTTTCAAAGTATTTCCAATGGGCATCATTCTATCACTTAGCTTAATCAGTTCAATTGGTCACATATAGCTATTTATGCCAGCCAAAAAGACAAAAAAAAAAAAAAAAAAAAAGGAAGACTTGGTAGAAGGGAACAAAATTATTTCATTTATGAACTATTATAGAAACGTGGAAATAGAAATAAGCTTTGTGTCTTATTAGACTATGAGAAAAACATGCCCACTGAAATAAACATTATTAAAGAGATCCCTTTTCTTCTCTGAGACACTATCTCGCTGAAGAATTGCAGCTGATTTATGCTTAATGGCTAAAATATTTGACACTGGGACTTCTTTTGTTTGTATGCCTTTTCCAAACTCCTTCTGAGTAAGAAACTTTTATTCACAAAAATGTACTTTAGAAAAACTAGTATGTGGAATTTCATTCTTAGATGAATTAAGTCATTTTTCCCTTTCTTGAAAAAATTATTTAAAAAATAGATTCCCTCCCCCTGCTTTCGTGATTTATCCATCACAAGAAATGCAGACCTCTGATGTGAGAGACTCTATAGTCAGCAGTTCCCAACATTAACAAAAGTGACATAATATTCATCAAGTTATAAGGAGCTTTACAGCATCTTAACACATACATACATAGCCTATGCTATATAGCAAACATAGTATGCAGATGCGCACAATACAGTAGCAAAACTTGTTTTGAGTCTTTAACCAAAGAGGAATAGTTAAATTAAAATGGGCTATTCTTTAACTATAAATTTGGACTACAATTCCATCTGAATAGACTGTATGACCTAAGCAGATGTGTTTAATCATGTAAGTTTAGAACTGAAAAAAATGTGAGATCCCAAAACTTTACTTTTCAAACGTGACATAAGGTGTCCAAAAAGTGAGTTATACAAGGTCATATAACTTAGTAAATTAACAGAGCCAGGAACAGAACTCTGCTCTTTTGATTTCTAGATCTATCTTCTTTCAACTACCTCATACAACCTCTCTGTTAAAGCTTACCTGCAACTCTCCTATTTAAGTCATGGTTTACAGTTTACTGTTATTACATATATTAACTTATCATTATTCTTCTTTAAAACAAAGAGAAGATGACAGAATTGGAGTACAGTTATTTTGCAACCCTTAATGAATAAACCCAGGCAAAGATCATGAAAGAACTACTGCTATTTTCATCACGAGAGAATGATAATCAGCTATTGCGTGCCTTCTGGGGAATTAAATATAACCAAGCCTCTAAAACTAACTACCCATTCAAAAGAAGTAAAGAAAACAAAGGAACATGTTAAACAAAATGAGTTTTGGGCATTCTCATCTTGCTAAGCAGAGAAGGATTAGATTTCAGGACCTACCAGAGGAATGGGCTACACTGAACACCCCAGGCTTTCATCTGGAACAACTGGAAAAGTATGGCCTAGGAATGGAAGTAAATCAGAGGAAGACAGAGCCTTGCCAAAACTATAATCCAGCCTCAATTCTGTTAATACAAAATTTCACAAGGGCATTATTACAAGAAAGGAAACTTTACAGGCCAATCTGTCTCAAAAACAGATGTGAAGTTTCTGAACAAAATATTAGCAAACAGAATCCCTTAATATACTCAATAAATTCAGCTTGATCATGATGAGTACTAAGCTGAGTTTATTTCAGGAATGTAAAGTTGGTTGACTATTCAAAAAATCTAATCAGTGGAATAAACCAATTAACAATTAAGATAAAAATCATAATCATCTCGGCTAGGCATGGTGGCATGCGCCTGTAATCCCAGCTCTTTGAGAGGCTGAGGCAGGCAGATCACATGAGGCCAGGAGTTCAAGACCAGCCTGGCCAACATGGTGAAACCCTATCTCTACAAAATATACCAAAATTAGCCGGGCGTGGTGGTGCCTGCCTGTCTCAAAAAAAGCAAGACTCTGTCTTTAAAAAAAAAAAATCATAATCATCTCAATAAGTACACGAAAACTTTTGCTAAAGTTCAGTTTTCATTCATAGTTTTAAAAATATATCTTAATTGCCCAGGCATGGTGCCTCACACCTGTAATCCCAGCACTTTGGGAGGTCAAGGTGGGCAGATCACTTGAGGCCAGGAGTTTGAGACTAACAAGGCAAAACCCAATCTCTACTAAAAATACAAAATTAGCTGGGAGTGGTGGTGCATGCCTGTAATCCCAGCTACTCGGGAAGGCTGAGGCATGAGAATTGCTTGAACCTGGGAGATGGAGGTTGCAGTAAGCCAAGATAGTGCCACTGCACTCTAGCCTGGGTGACAGAGCACAACTCTTGTCTCAAAAAAATGTATCTATATCTACATCTTAACTAAGAATAGAGGGGAACTTGCTTAATTTGAGAAACTGTGATAAGACTGAAAATGAGGCAAGAATACTTGCTATCACCAATTCTACCCAGTGCTGTACCACAAGCTCTGCCCAGTGCAATGAGGCAAGAAAAAGAAATTATAAAAATTCAAATGGAAGATATACAACTGTAATATTCATAGACTATATTATTGTGTTAGTAGAGAAAACAAAGAAGATTCAAATAAAATACTATAATAACTGCATTTAGTAAGGTTGCTAGATCTAATTTCAATATACAAAGTGGTTAATATTTTTATAACAGCAATAAGCAGAAAATTATATTTAAAAATTTACCATTTACAACAGCATCAAAACTGAATGCTTGATTTCATCCCCCATTCACAAATCTACTCTTCTATCAACAGTCTTCCCCAAATTAATATATGGGAACTCCACCCTTCCAATTGCTCAAATCAAAAACATTGGTACAGTTCAGGTGCAGTGGCTCACACCTGTAATCCCAGCACTTTGGGAAGCTGAGGTGGGAGAATTGCTTGAGGCCAGGAGTTTGAGACCAGCTTGGACAACATAGTGAGACCCCCCCACCCCCAACCTCTACAGAAAAATTAAAAATCAGCCAGGCATCTGTATGTAGTCCCAACTAGTCAGGAGGCTGAGGCAAGAAGATCACTTGAGCTCAGGACTTTGAGGCAGCAATGAGCTATGAATGTGCCATTGCACTCCAGCCTGGGTGACAGAGGAAGATCCTGTCTCTTAAAAAACAAGCAAAGAAAAAAAAAAAGTTAACTTATCGTTCTCTTGTGACACTTTACAAATCTATCAATAAATGATATCAGCTCTACCTACAAAATATATCCAGAATCTGACCCTGTCTTACCACTTCCTCTGCCATCTCCCTAACATAAGTCACATCATCTTTCATCTGGATTTTTGTAAAAGCCTCTTAAATTATCTCTTTGTTATCACCCTTGCTCATCTATAGCTGATTCTCAGCACAGGAGCCAGAATGATCCTTTTAACATATAAGTTGTATAATCCCACTCCTCTGTTTAAAACTCTCCAATAGCTTCCTAATTATTTCCTTTTATTCATTATGAATAAGAGCCAAAATCCTTACAATGGTCTTTATAAGGCCCTACACCAGTAGTTTGTCAATGGGGAGTGTTTAGAAAATGTATGCGGGCATTTTTGGTAACAATGACTGGGAAAATTATTCCTGGGTAGCAGATGAGGGCCCATGGATGACAGCTATCTGGCTTCCTGTTTGACATCTGAATGTCCTACTGGACTTTCACTTAGAAACTTACTCATAATTATTTTAGATTAGATGTAACTCCACTTTACATATAAACACACAGTATTTTTTGCACAAATTGCTGTGTCAATCAAAGGAAGGTTGTACTTTGATAAGAATTTTATCAGGAGTTGTTTACCACTTCAGAAAATAACATCACCATTTACAATCCACTGTGGTATATGAGTTACCAACACATCATTTCTGTCTACATTTGCAGGTATCTTACCCACTGCAATTCTCTGTAAAAGTGTACTACTTTAGGTCTTCTAGTATTGTTAGGGCCATTTACGTACTGGATATAATTTCATCTAAAATTTGTTATTTCTTCTTTATATACTTAATTATGTAAGCATAGGTAGGTTATACTATGTATGCATTTCATTTCAGATAGTATAAGGAATACTGTAGCATGTTTGTAGTGAAAATGTAGGTGATAGGGCTGACAGTATTGAAAAGTACTAAACCAATGGTCTGGTATCCTGTTACTTATCTAATCTCATCTCATCTCTGCCTGTACCTTTTGCTCTAAACACACTGGCCTCCTTGCTGTGCTTCCAATATACCAGGCACTCTCCTGCCCCAGAGCCTTTGTACTTGCCATTCCTTCTGCTTACAACCTACTTCCCTCAGGCAACCTGAAATGCTTGCTTTCTCACTTTCTTTGTGTATTTGCTCAAAAGTTACTTTTTCAGTGAGGGATTTCCTAACCATCCCATTTTTTGTTTTTGTTTTTTGGTTTTAAATAGACATGGGGTTTTGCTATGCTGCCCAAGCTGGTCTCAAACTCCTGGGTTCAAGTGATCCTCCTACCTCAGCCTCCCAAAGTGTTGGGATTACAAGCGTGAGCCACTGTGCCCAGCCATTAACCATTCTATTTTAAATTGTAACCCCTGCCACACACACTCCCTTCATACTTAACCCTCACCCACAACCCCTATCGTTTTTTGTTTGTTTGTTTTTTAGAACTGGCAAAGGCTATTTATTCAGAGCTTGCTAGCAATGAGGTTAGTTTGGTAGAAACTGGAGGGCAGGCAGAAGAGTGGAAAACCTTCACAGGGCAGGCTCCAGGAATGTCTAGATGGAGGCTGCTGGCCTGGGGAAGTTGGTGACAGACACTCAAGGCAGAGCATCCTATGTGACTAGCGGGGGATGGAAGTGGTGGGGGGGACACACTTGGCTTTCTCTGGTTGGTCCAGAGTTGGAAGCAGGCACAGAGATTAGGGAAGCTAGCAGTTACTGATTAGGCTCTGGCCATTTGAGGCCAAATGTTATAGAAGTGATTGTTTAGCCATCTGACTACACACTTGGCCTCTCACTGGCAGGATGCTGGGCCCTGGCTGCCAGTTTCTGCAGTTCCTTGCTGCCTCCTATGTGTAAACGAGCTTTCCAACCTTGAGAATAGTAGATTACGAAGACAGAGACTTACTTTGGATGGCCAACAGTAGCCCAGTGACCTCATGTCCCATGGGCCTCAGCTTCCCCACCTGACAAACGAGCAGTGGGGACATCCACTGATGCCCAAAAACCAACCCCACCCCAGGCAAACTGCGCCATCTGGCCCAGTGGCTGTTTACCTCAGGCTTTCCCCTCCCCCAGTGTGCCTGTCTCACATGCCTTGTCTCACAACCCTAATTCCCTTTGAACATACCAGATACTTTACATATTTACTTATTCATAGTCTAATACCCACTAGGATGTAAGCGTAGTGCAAGGATTTTGTCTGTTCTCTGCTTTGTTGTTTGCTGTATTTGCAGTACTTAGAACATTGCCTGGTACACAGCAGACTCCATAAATATCTGCTAAATACATCAATGAATTATCGGTCTCATAGAGAAGAAAATGTAGCACATTACTTAGCTCTATACTAAACAATATTAAAAGTCATAATAATGAAAACTTTTACAATAAACTCAAGACACAGAATAGGAGATTTAATTAATGGCTATAGGACAGAATGCAAATGACTGATATGGTTTGGCTCTGTGTCCCCACTGAAATCTCATCTTGAATTGTAATCGCCATGTGTCACGGGAGGAACCTGATGGGAGGTGACTGGATTATGGGGGCAGTTTCCCCCATGCTGTTCTCGTGATAGTGAGTCTCATGAGAGCTGATGGTTTTAAAAGTGGCAGTCTTTTTCCTGTGCTCACACTGAGCTGCTCTCTCCTGATGCCATGTGAAGATGGTCCTTGCTTTCCCTTTGCCTTCCATCATGATTATAAGTTTCCTGAGGCCTCCCCAGCCATGTGGAACTGTGAGTCAATTAAACCTCTTTCCTTTATAAATTACCCATCTTAGGTATTTCTTTATAGCAGTGTAAGAATGGACTAATACACTGACCTACATAATGTTACAAATAAAAGGAAAACAGCAGATATAAGTTTGAAGGTAAGAGAGTAAGGCGTTTTAGTATTTTTATTTTACGTGGTGGGGAATCAAGATATACTACCTAAAGTTAACGGAACAATAAATTTATGAATATAGGATACCAACAGTAGAACTAAAAATAATAATTTAATTCCAAAAATCTAGGTGGAAAAGGGTCAAAGGTAGAAGGATGTGTGGGTTAAGTCATCCTTTCTTTTTAGAGAACAGTAGAAAAATGGGTAAATTAAGAGTAGTCAGTAAAACTGTATTATTTTTTAAAAATTAAAACATTACCAATGGTAAAAGCACAAACAAAAATGGTTAAAAGTGTCACTATAGAATGGAAATGGGGTAGGAAAAGTGTTGATTGATTGATTGATGAGGTCTGCTATGTTGCCGAGGCTAAGTACAGTACAGGTAGGATCACAGACCCCTATAGCCTCGAACTTCTGGCATCAAACAATCCTTTTGCCTCAGCCTCCAGAGTACCTGGGATTACAGGTTACCATGCCTGTTGTTTTGTTACCACAAACTTGTATTACTTTGATTAAAAAATATTTTAAAGTTTAAACTATATTCAACATTGTTTAATAAACAATTTTTAAACTGTCATGAGTGATAGTTTTATATTATAAAACTACAATATAGTACTTAGGGAGAGAACCCTCTAGAGCTAAAGCTACTAGAGTTCAAATCCTACCTTCAAATAATCAGATATTCCAACTATTCCCTTACAACATCATGTAACAGAAATCTTACTGCATACTAGGCCACAAAGAAAATAAGTCCTTAAGAGTTACTAAACGAAGTTGAACTTCTCTCAAATACCTCATTGCTCTGATGCAAAGACATTTCTTTAAATTTAAAAAAAAAATTTGTTTTAGAGAGACAAGGTCTCACTATATTGCAGGCTGGTCTCAAACCCCTGGGCCCAAGTGATCCTCCCGCCTCGGCCTCCCATAGTGCTGGGATTACAGGCGTAAGCCACTGTCCCTGGCCCCATTTCTTTAAATTTGTATTGTTTCAGGTAGAAGAGCAAATTATGATGTTTGCCAGCATGCCAGCAAATTTAGCTATGAAGACGATGTATCTGCTCAACCAACTGTAACCTTACTTGATTTATTTCATTGGTACTACACATGGCTGACATTAAGTTTGGATCACTACTTGTCACACAGAGTTATCTTCCAAAAAGTTACACTGTGAGGCAGCTTTGAAATGAAACATTATTGTAGGTGCAGAAGATTGTCACACAGGCAATAAAATTATAAGCACTGGAAAATGTCCTATCTGGGATAAACAACAGAATTTTTAATACTAGAACAGGTTGGTGTGGTCAATGCCTATCAGTCAGGTACCAAACATCTATCAAAAGCTTCAGGCCAACATTCAAGAGAAGATATTTAATTTCTAGTATTAAAAATTCAATGAAGGAAAAAACATGCAGATAAAACCTTCAGTATTCAGTTGGCATCTAACCAATAACAGCAGCAGCAGCAGCAACTAACGTTTATTGTGCACTCATCACGTACCAGGCAGTGCTGTGTTTTTAATGTACTGTATTTACTCATTCAACTCTCAGAACACTTGCACACAGCTAATAAGAGCAAAGCCCAAATTCAAACTCAAGTTGTATAGCTTAAAAGTGTATGCTTTGTTTGCTTTGAGACAGGTTCTTACTCTCTCACCCAGTCAGGAGTGCAGTGATGCGATCATGGCTTACTGCGGCCTCTACCTCCTTACCTCAGCCTCCTGAGTAGCTGAGACCACAGTCACATGCCACCATGTCTGGCTAATTTTTTCTGTTTTTTTTTTTGTAAAGATGGAGTCTCCCTATGTTGCGGAGGCTTCAAACTCCTGGGCTCAAGTGTTCCTCCTGCCTTGGCCTCCCAAAGTGCTGGGATTACAAGTGTGAGCCTCTGTGCCTGACCACAAAAGTATATGCTTTTAAAGTGTTCCAGATACCAGTCTAGGATTTTATTACAGAGCCACTGAAGAACATGAGGTAGGTAAGTGACAAGACCATATCTGCAATTAGGAAGATCACTACTACAACACTGAGATAACAGTTTGGAGGAGAGACAGATTGGAAGCAAGAGTAGTAGAGTTCTTGTAATGGTCTAAGGGGGAAAAAAAGATAAGGACCTGATTAAAGTAGTGGCAGTAGGAAAATGAACAAGAGGACAAAAAGGATAGATATTTAAGAAGAATAAATATGATATAGTAACTACGGTTGACATTGTTAGTTGCCTACATGACAGGCATTCTTTCAACCAGCTTCCCCGCTGGAAGAACCTACCTCCCTTGATGGTACAGGCTGAAAATACAAAGTAATCGCTTCCTTAGCTTTCCTCACAACTATGGCTTGGGCATTTTATTCTAATCCTAGTCAGTGGGAATTAGTGGGAAGTCTCTGTGTGTATGTATGTAACGGGCTGCCTTATCCTAATACAAAAAACATTTGCTTCTTTATTCTGTCATTTGATACTAATGAGTGAAGGTACATACTCTTTAATTGGGTTGCTGGTTCCTGTTTGTTAATATTTTATCAAGAGCTTTGTGTTGATATCAAAAAGGAGATAGTCTCCTTTTTGGATGCTATCAAGTTTTGAAATACTATGTATGTAAAAAGAATTTATAGGCTTATAAAAGAAACTTATAAAGCTTTAGGAAACAGATAAAGCATCAATTTTGTCTTTGTAGTAAAGCTTTAATAGTATTCGTGTGAAATGATCTGGGCCTGGTGCCTATGTTAGGGGTTGGGGGTTGCCTAAGTTGGGGATAGAAGATAAGGTACCTCTTTAATATCTTATGGTATTTCTTCTACATGAATTGTTCTATCTATATTTTCAATTTGTTTTAGAATCAGTTTTTGTCATTTATATAACCTAAGAGTATTACCAACTTTATCTATGTTTTCAAGTTTATTTGTATAATAAAAATTTAAATTTTCAGTCTGTGATTATTTTCCCACTTTATTTTTTATTTTGTGCATCTTTGCTTTTATCTTGATAAATTATATTCAGCTACTTCTAATTTGGCATAATACTTTGCACCAAAATCTTCTGAAATCACAGGTTATTACATTTTACATGGTAGGTCAGCCACTGGATCAGAACTTGCCTCTGAGAAATACTGAAATAATAAGAGCTCTACTTTCTGTGCTATGGCTACATGGCTACACACAAAATAAGAAATGCTTGTTATTAAAATACTAAAAATACTATCTGTTCTAATTTCTAGCACAATGGCAGTCCTTATCTCAGAAAGGTGTGGTCTCCAAAACCATTTGGCAAATCACTTAATAGAGCAAAATGTTGGTTTAAGCGGTAAACACATGCATTTCTAGCATCCATATGCTCAATTCTCCATCTGGTCTATCCTATTTATACATGTTGGCACAATTCCTAGTAACAACTGAGTAAGTGCTTTATATCCCTAAACCAAAGGGATAGGAAAGCCCTTCCATCTTATTTAACAGTGAGTTAAAATAATGAGACCAAATAACATAAGTATGAATCCTACATTCAGCCCCTTAATCTCTATCTCTCCAAATCTGAAGAATGACCTCCAGAATTTACCCAATAGAAGATCCACTTCAGCATGCCATATGTTCTACATAATCTGGTAAGATTTTAATTACAAGTTAAATGATTAGCTAGGATTCTACCAATTTATTAACAATCAAAAATAATACCAGCATTAAAAAATATGTTAGTAGACAATTACAGGTAGATTCTTAGTATATTACTTTAATTGATGAAGCATACTGTTTAAATCCAGCAATCCCATTACTGGGTATATACCCGAGGGAATACAAATTGTTCTACCAAAAATACACATGCACTTTTATGTTCATCACAGCACTATTCACAATAGCAAAGATACGGAATCAACGTAGATGCCCATCAGTGGTGGACTGGAAAAAGAAAATGTGGTATGTATATACCATGGAAAACAATAAAGTCATTAAAAAACCTGAAATTATGTCTTTTGCAGCAACATGGATGCAGCTGGAAGTCATTATCCTAGCGAATTAACACAGGAACAGAAAACCAAATATCTCATGTTCTCACTTATAAGTGGAAGCTAAACAGTGAATACACATGGATACAAAGATGGGGAACAACAGACTCCGGAGCCTACTTGAGGTGGGAGGGTGATGGTCGAAAAACTACCTATCAGGTACCATGCTCACTACCTGGGTGATCAAAGCATTTGGACACCAAACCCCAGTGACATGCAATTTACCCATGTAACAAACCTGCACATGTACTCCTGACTCTAAAATAAAAGATTTAAAAAAATCAATAGTTCTCGAAATTTTTGGTCTCAGGACTTAATTACATTGAGGATCCCAAGGAGTTTTTTGTTTATGTCAGTTATAGCTACTAATAATTGCTGTAGTAGAAATTAAAAATAAGAACATTTGGCCGGGCACAGTGGCTCAAGCCTGTAATCCCAGCACTTTGGGAGGCCGAGGGTGGATCATCTGAGGTCAGGAGTTCGAGACCAGCCTGGCCAACATGGTAAAACCCCAGCTCTACTAAAAATACAAAAATTAGCCGGGCGTGGTGGCAGGCACCTGTAATCCCAGCTACTCAGGAGGCTGAGGCAGGACAATCACTTGAACCCAGCAGGCAGAGGTTGCATTGAGCCGAGATCGCACCAGTGTACTCCGCCCTGGGGGACAAGAACGAGACTTCATCTCAAAAAAAAACCAAAAAAACAAAAAAATTTAAAGATATTTAATTCATTTTAAAATAATTAACTCCATTGTGTGGTAACTTGAATAGCATATTTCTAATGAAAAATAACTATATTTTCCAAAACAAAGAAATTTAGTGAGAAGAGTGGCATGTTGTGATTTAATACTCGGCTTAGAACTCTTGAAAAAGTTCTGGGATCTCACTTTGAGAAGCACTAGATTAAGTTTCCTATGGGTAATATTTCATTTGTTACATTAAAATCCCTTCTCCATTAAAAAAATTATCTCTGTAGGCTGGGTGCGGTGGCTCATGCCTGTAACCCAAGAACTTTGGGAGGCCGAGGTGAGCGGATCACCTGAGGTCGGGAGTTCGAGACCAGCTTGACCAACATGGAGAAACCCCCGTCTCTACTAAAAATACAAAATTAGCTGGGTGTGGTGACACATGTCTGTAATCCCAACTACTCGGGAGGCTGAGGCAGGAGAATTGCTTGAACCCAGGAAGCAGAGGCTGCGGTGAACCGAGACTGCACTATTGCACTCCAGCCTGGGCAACAAGAGTGAAACTCTGTCTCAAAAAAAAAAAAAAAAATTTATCTCTGTTATACCAGCAGATAGAATTGCAAGACGAGCTCTGAAACCTACTTTAATTAATCATTACTGTTACCAATTATATAGATACTAATATATTTAAATATACACAGTGAAGATGAAACCAGCCGCAGTTGCACTTTATTATGGCTAGTAATGGCTCATGTTTCTATAAGCTTCTCTCTCCTATTCTCTAGCTATTTCATTGTCCTCAAAATCCAGTTCCTCAACTTCTCTATATCTGTCTTCACTTCCTATTTCCTTGAGAAAATAAGTCTTCAGAATAAAATTCCATCAATCTCAAGCCACTAATACCACAAACTGAGGTGAATTTCCAGCCTATTTTCCACCTTTGCTCCTGTTAAAATAGAAGCAGCATTCTTCCTTCATTTTAAAACTAATCCGTTCTCTACATGCTTCTTTGTAAAAAGCATTTAATTATGCTCAAGTAGTTCCCATCTTAATAACAAAACACAAAAGGAAATCACAGGTGATTTATTAACTTTGTTTTTTATTTTTTAGAGACAGGGTCTTGCTTTGCCATCAAGGCTGGGGTGCAGTGGCGTGATCACTGCAGCCTCTACCTTCCAGGCTCAAGTGATCCTCCCACTTCAGCCTCCCAAGTAGCTGAGACTTATTCACTTTAAATGAGTACACTTCATGGTATGTAAATTGTCTCTAATAAATCTGGTTTTAACCCCCCACCCCACACTCACATGTTCCTTAACCTCACACTATCTTTGCTACTACTCTGCTTTTTGAAGATAAACTTTTATTCAAAAAATTTTAACAGCTTTACTGAAATATATTTATATAAGAAACTGTACATATTTAAACTCTACAGTTTGCTGAGTTTTTCAAATATGTATATACCTGAGAAACCATCACCACAATCAACAACAAACACAGCCACCACCACCAAAGTTTCCTTATGCCCCATGTAATTCTTCCCTTCCACCACTCCCCCATCCTTATACAACATTTTCAGACAAGCTTGAATTAGATTTGTTGTCTCCTTCCTTATTTTGCATCCATTCACTCCTCAATCTGGATTCTATACTCAGGATTGCACTGCAAGTGCTGTCATTATCATCAAAGTCACCAAGACTTTCAAGTTTTTAATCTAATGAGGTTTCATTTCTCACTTGATCTCTTTACAACATTTGACCACTTTCTCCTATGTTGAAACTTTGGTTTCTAAGACCATACTCTCCAGGTTTCCCTTCGATCTCTTTGGCAATTCACTCTCACTCTCCTTTGAACAAGCCTATTTCACTGCCTGTCCCCTCTATGTTGGTATTCTTCAAAGGTTTGTTCTAGGCCATCTTCTCTCTTTCCCTAGGCAATCTCACCCACCCACAACTTTAATTTATGTACGGTCAGTCCGCATCATTCAAGGATTTGGCATCTGTAAATTTACCTACTCACTAAAATACATTTGTAACCCCCATATCAAAACTCATGGTGTTTTCTTGGTCAGTGAGGATCTGCATGTGCATGTCCCATAGCAACTTCAAAAGGAACTCATTTTCTCTACTCCCAAATTTGTTATTCCTTAGTGAGTGCCCCCAACACCCTACCAGTTGCCACCATGGAAAACCTTGTATTCCAAGCTCACTGGTCTCTAAGGCAAGGCAGAATGAGGCATCTTTTGCCCTGCTATATCTGACTGAGGAAATGCATCTACCTCGAGAATATGGAAAATACATTCCAAATTCTGATTCTCCTATTGTACTCTGGGAGTCAGTTGTATATAAGTGTATGAGTTGGGGAGGGAAGGAGTGACACAACATAGCAGAGACACTGAATGTCCTACAGAAAGGATTTCAAAAAGCCATTTGGAAAGGACAAAACAAAACGCACTCTAAATAAGCTGCCCTCCCTGCACAGTCTCTAAAGCAGAGGTCCCCAACACCAGGGGCCATAGCCCAATACTGGTCGGTGGCCTTTTAGGAAATGGGCCACACAGCAGGAGGTGAGCGGAGGGCGAGCAAGCATTACTGCCTGAGCTCCACCTCCTATCTCATCAGTGGCAGTGTTAGATTCTCATAGGAGCGCGAACTCTATTGTGAACTACCCACGTGAGGGATTTAGGTTGTGCGCTCCTTATGAGAATCTAAGGCCTGAAGTGGAACAGTTTCCTCTCAAAACCACCTGCCCCAGCCCCCTAACCCCAGGCCATGAAAAAATTATCTTCCACGAAACCAGTCTCTGGTGCCAAAAAGGCTGGGGACCACTGCTCTAAAGCATATCCCATCTAGCTGATTTTATGACAAGTGAGAATTACACTGAAAGATATCAAAACTTATTCATCTCACACAACATACTTAAAAGCTATAGATTTCACAGCTGATTAGAAGAAGTGCTTCAATTAACTTTACTTCAATTATTTCAACACTGTATACAAACCTCTCAGAATCTGTGAATGAAGTGTTAAAAAAATTATAAATAGGATATATGCTCACAAGAAATGTCACTAGTTCCAAAGGACACAGACTAAAAAGTAAAATATCTTCAATCCTCCATATTCATTCTGCAGTTATTTGTGTCTTAATATTTCTTAAACACAATAATCATATATATTTTTCTTTTAACTGAACAAAATCATACTATATACATAGTTCTGCAGCTTGCCCTTATCACTTAATAATAAATACACTGGAACCAGGCACTCTGGCTCATGCCTGTAATCTCAGCACTTTGGGAGGCCAAGATGGGCAGATCACCTGAGGTCAGGCTGAGGTCAGGAGTTCAAGGCCAGGCTGGCCAACATGGAGAAACACCAACTCTACTAAAAATACAAAAATTAGGCCGGGCACAGTGGCTCATACCTGTAATCCTAGCACTTTGGGAGGCCAAGGTGGGCGGATCATCTGAGGTCAGGAGTTCATGACCAGCCTGGCCAACATGGTGAAACCCCATCTCTACTAAAAATACAAAACTAGCTGGGCATAGTGGCAGGCGCCTGTAATCCCAGCTACTTAGGAGAATCTCTTGAACCTGGGACGCAGAGGCTGCAGTGAGCCGAGATCGTGCCATTGCACTCCATCCTGGGCAACAAGAGTGAAACTCCATCTCAAGAAAAAAAAAAAAAAAAGGGTGGCCAGGCGCGGTGGCTCACACCTGTAATCCCAGCACTTTGGGAGGCCGAGACGGGTGGATCACGAGGCCAGGAGATCAAGACCATCCTGGCTAACACGGTGAAACCCCGTCTCTACTATAAATACAAAAAATTAGCCAGGCGTGGTGGCAGGTGCCTGTAGTCCCAGCTACTTGGGAGGCTGAGGCAGGAGAATCGCGTGAACCCGGGAGGCAGAGCTTGCAGTGAGCCAAGATCGCGCCACTGCACTCCAGCCTGGGGGACAGAGCAAGACTCCGTCTCAAGAAAAAAAACAAAAAACAAAAAAAACTAGCTGGGCATGGTGGCAGGTGCCTGTAATCCCAGCTACTTGAGAGGTTGAGGCACAAGAATCACTTGAACCCAGAAGCAGTGAGGCGTGGTTGCACCACTGCACTCCAGCCTGGGCGAGAGTGAGGCTCTGTCTCACATACATACATACATATATACATACATACATACATACACACACACACACACACACACACACACACTGAAGTCAGTGTTTCCTATGTCAATGATCATCATCTCTGCTCAGGGCAATATGAAACTAGGTGTCTTTTTTTTTTTTTTTTTTGAGATGGAGTCTCGGTCTATCACCCAGGCTGGGGTGCAGTGGCGTGATCTCAGCTCACTGCAACCTCTGCCTCCCGGGTTCAAGCAATTCTCCTGCCTCAGCCTCCCGAGTAGCTGGGGTTACAGGCATGTACACCATGCCTGGCTAGTTTTTGTATTTTTATTAGAGATGGGGTTTCACCATGTTGCCCAGGCTGGTCTCGAACTCCTTACCTCAAATGATCCACCTGCCTCAGCCTCCCAAAGTGCTGGGATTACAGGCATGAGCCACTGTGCCCAGCCTGTGTCATTTTTAATACTACTCTTTTTCATTCCTTAGATTCAGTTCATCTCCAATTTCTATTACCTTTACCTACTTTTTTTTCTTTTTTTTTTGAGACAGGGTCTCGCTCTGTTCCCTAGGCTGGAGTGCAGTGGTGCAATCATGGCTCACTGGGCTCAAGTGACCTTCCCACCTCAGCCTCCTGTGTAGCTCAGATGACAGGTGTGTACTACCACATCTAGCTTTTTTTTTTTTTTGTAGAGATGGGGTCTCACCATGTTGCCCAGGCTGGTCTCGAACTCTTGGGCTCAAGTAACCCTCCCACCTTGGCCTCCCAAAGTGTTGAGATTACAGGTGTGAGCCACCATGCACAGCCTAACTTTACCTCTTAATTATCGATCAATTTATTTCATTTCTCTTCATCTTCACAGTCACCACCCTAGTCTAACCTACCATTATCTATCCTTTGAATTACTGTGATAATATTTTGCTAGGCTCCTTGTATCTAGCATGGGCTACTTCCAAACTACACTGCAGCCAAAGTCATTTTTTCAAAGTGCTTTTCTGGGTTGGAGTTGGCTGAGGATTGAAAAATTACCAGTTGAATACAATGTCCACTATTTGGGTGACAGGTACACTAAAAGCCCAGACTTCACCACTATGTGATACATGCGTGTAAGGAATCTGCACTTATACCTCCTAAATCTATAAATACATACATTTTTAAAATAAATAAGATGGCCGGGCACGGTGGCTCATGCCTGCAATCCCAGGACTTTGGGAGACTGAGGCGGGCGGATCACAAGGTCAAGAGATCGAGACAATCCTGGCCAACATGGTGAAACCCTGTCTCTACTAAAAATACAAAAATTAGCTGGGCATGGGGGCACGTGCCTATAGTCCTAGCTACTCGGGAGGCTAAGGCAGGAGCATCATTTGAACCCTAGAGGCGGAGGTTGCAGTGAGCGGGGGTTGCAGTGAGCTGAGATCGCGCCACTGCACTCCAGCCTGGCAACAGAGCAAGACTCTGTCTCATAAATAAATAAATTAATTAATTAAATTAAATAAGTAAGATACTTAACACAAAAAATGCTTTTCTAATACCACATTCTTGCTTAAAAAAAACTATTTACAGAGTTTGGGAAGATGAAAAAGTTCTGGAGATGACTGGTGGTGATAACTGCACACCAATATGAGTATACTTAATACCGTTGAACTGTACACTTAAAAATGCTTACAAGGGGCCAGGCGCGGTGGCTCACGCCTGTAATCCCAGCACTTTGGGAGGCTGAGATGGGTGGATCACGAGGTCAGGAGATCGAGACCATCCTGGCTAACATGGTGAAACCCCGTCTCTACTAAAAATACAAAAAATTAGCCAGGTGTGGTGGCAGGCGCCTGTAGACCCAGCTACTCGGGAGGCTGAGGCAGGAGAATGGCTTGAACCTGGGAGGTGGAGCTTGCAGTGAGCCGAGATGGCGCCACTGCACTCCAGCCTGGGTGACAGAGCAAGACTCTGTCTCAAAAAATAAAATAAAATAAAAATAAAATAAAATAAAATAAAATGCTTAATAGGATTAATTTTATGTTATATGTACTCTACCTTAATAAATAATGAAAAGAACACACGATTTAATGGCTTCCCACGTACAAAATCCTTAGTATGGATACAAAGCCCTGCCCTGCTTTCCTACAGGGTCATCTCAAACAACTTTCTGCATTACAGTTTTCCTTTACCATTCTTTCCTCTTGTCACCCAGTGCCTACATATACATGCTTTCCATAATTTTCTAATGCTCTATTCACCTTTTCATGTAATTCATTCCCACTCAATCTTCAAATATCAGGTCAAGCTTTACTTTCGCAGAGAAGCCTTACTCTGATCCTATAGTCTAGGATCAAGTTTTTTTCTTACATGTTCTTACAGAACCAGATTTCTTTTCTTAAAAGTATTTACCTTGGGTTGTAATAATATATATATACACACACACACACACACACACACATACACACACACACACACACATATATATATATATATATATATATATATATATATATATATATATATATATATGTTTTTTTTTTTTTTTTTTTTTTGAGACAGAGTCTCTCTCTGTCGCCCAGGCTGGAGTGCAGTGGCACAATCTCGGCTCACTTCAAGCTTCGCCTCCCTGGTTCACGCGATTCTCCTGCCTCAGCCTCCCGAGTAGCTGGGATTACAGGCGCCCGCCACCACGTCCAGCTAATTTTTTTTTTTTTTGTATTTTTAGTAGAGACGGGGTTTCACCGTGTTAGCCAGGATGGTCTCAATCTCCTGACCTCGTGATCTGCCCGCCCTGGCCTCCCAAAGTGCTGGGATTACAGGCATGAGCCACCGTGCCTGCCCTGTAATAGTATATTGTTAATGCAAATATCTAACTAAAGTCTGTTTCCCTCACAAGAAGACTGTAAAATCCACAAGAACAGAAACTATGTCTTTTTTGCTTACCACCTAGCATATACCTGGCATATGACAGATGTTCAAAAAATATTTATTAAATACATAATACAGATCTACCTTACTTTAAAAAAATAAACTGCAAAGAATTCAACTTAATGGATGCCACAGTTTTTCTTGTTTTTTTTTTTTTTTTTTTTTTTTTTTTTGAGACAGAGTCTCACTCTTGTTGCCCGGGCTGGAGTGCAATGGTGTGATCTGGGCTCACTGCCACCTCCACCTCCCAGGTTCAAGCAATTCTCCTGCCTTAGCTTCCTGAGTAGCTGGGATTACAGGCAAGCACTACCATGCCCAGCTAATTTTTTTGTGTTTTTAGTAAAGAAGGGATTTCTCCATGTTGGTCAGGGTGGTCTTGAACTCCCGACCTCAGGTGATCCGCCCGCCTCGGCATCCCAAAGTGCTGGGATTACAGGTGTCAGCCACTGTGCCTGGCCTGTCACAGTTTCTTTAACCAATTCCAGAATGATGGGAATTTAAGTTGTTTCCAAATTTTTGATATTACAAATCTTAGGATGACCACTTATGCCAATATTATCTATAAACGTACTTAAATGCAATTCTTAAATGTAAAATTGCTGGTCAAATGAAAAGTGCATTTAAAATCTTAATACAGGCCAGGCATGGTGGCTCAGGCCTGTAATCCCAGCTACTCGGGAGGCTGAGGCAGGAGAATCGTTTGAACACAGGAGGCGGAGGTTGCAGTGAGCCGAGATCTCGTCACTCCAGCCTTTGCAACAGAGCGAGACTCCATCTCAAAATAAAAAAATAAATAAATGAATAAAATCTTAATAGATATTTCCAAACTGCCTCCCTAAGAGGTTGTAATTTATACTCCAAGCAACCAATGTGCCTCCTTCTACATACGTAATACTCAACTTATATAGCCAAAGTAAGCCAACTGTATGGTGGGGGAGATAACAGAAAAAAAAAGTGTTCATTTTTATGTAAGAGAAGTAGGATTTTTCTCATGATTTAATGTCATATTAAACATTTAAAATTAAAATATTATTTCTACAAAGTTTCAGCAAATGAGTTAAGTAAACAAAGCTAAGTGATTAGGAAAACTCCTAGTTATTAAAAGACTGTGGAAAAATTAGTGTATTTAAAAAGCCATGTATTTCTCTAACCTGTATATTTAAGAATCACTTTTCCTGTCATATGGAAGATTTTTTTTTTCCCTTCAGAAGCTTTAGCCCATATTTCAATCAGTGGTACTGAGGCAGTAAAAAGGAGGAAGAAAATCATAAGAATATTTACACTTATAAGAATACATAGGCCGAGTGTGGTGGATCATGTCTGTAACCCCAGCACTTTGGGAAGCTGAAGCAGGCAGATCACTTGAGGTCAGGAGTTCAAGACCAGCCTGGTCAATGTGGTGAAACCCTGTCTCTACTAAAAATACAAAAAAATTAGCTGGGCGTGGTGGTGCATGCCTGTAGTCCCAGATACTTGGGAGGCTGAGACAGGAGAATCGCTTGAACCTAGGAGACGGAGGTTGCAGTGAGCCGAGATGGTGCCACTGCACTCCAGCCTGGGCGACACAGCAAGACTCCATCTCAAAAAAAAAAAAAAAAAAGAATATATAGGAAATAGGCTGGGTGCAGTGGCTCAGGCCTGTAATCCCAGCACTTTGGGGGCTGAGGCGGGAGGATCGCCTGAAGTCAGGAGTTCAAGGCCAGCCTGGCCAACATGGTGAAAAACCCCATCTCTACTAAAAATACAAAAATTAGCCGGGCATGGTGGGGCACGCCTGTAGTCCCTGCTACTCAGGAGGCACAGGCAAGAGAATCGCTTGAACCCAGGAGGTGGAGATTGCAGTGAGTTGAGATCATGCCACTGCACTCCAGCCTGTGCTATGGAGACAGACTGTGCCTCAAAAAAAAAAAGGAATATATAGTAAATAGTAAATAGAGAAAAAAATTAACATTTTATATCAAACTACAATTTTTCCTTTAAGATATTAACATTTGGTATTTGGTCTAGTTCTATTTTTTTGCCCCCACATTTAATACATCTCACACTGTGATTACATAATATATTGCTTCTTTTTACTAAATAGTAAATAACATACATATTTCTTTCATTTCACTAAAATATGACCTGTCTCAGGCAATACAAAGAAAAGCACCTGTACATCACTGCCTTCTCAGGATCTTCACTATGTTCTTAACCTCTGTGAGTTTCCACTTTCTGATCTTACAAATGAAGGCATTAGTTTAAATGACCTCTGTACCATTAAGGAAAACTCCCTTTGATTTAACTCTTCTCATTTAAGGATTTCTAAAATAAACAAGACTTGTATTTAAGAGAGCTGACTTCCACTCCCTCAGCTTCACCAGTTAGTAAGCATATTCCACTGAAAATTTGAGTCCTGATAATTTAGGGTCTTTAGGTATTTCAGGATTAGTATTCTTATCAGAATATTTGTACTGACTCCACATTATATAGAGAAATTCATATTTAAATATAAAAAGAAAACTCCCTAATTAAAATCTATCTGTTTTCTTTCTCATTATTTTCCTTTCTTTCTCTTTTAATTCTATCATTGAAGCAGAATGTGAAGGGATTTGTTTTTTGGAAGACTCTCTTAATTGTCCTTATTAATGAGATTTCACATACACTAGATTGTCAGTTCTTTTCCACATACAGACTTATAGAAACATCAGCTCTTACCTTAACCGGGAAGCTACATTTTCCGGTGCGAACGCCTTCTTCATCTGTCTGCCACTGATGTGGACGACTGGCCTCTGGAACATAAACATCCTTCTTTCTCCTAAAACTTTGCCGTAATTTGTTCATTTTAATTTTTACAGCCTGAAGACAGAGGAAAAAAAATATTTAAAAGAAATATTACCTTCTTACATATTTAAACTTTGGATTACCATACTAACCAAAAATCTGATGTCCAAAATTAAAGGTTTTGGGTTTTATTTAAGCAATATATAATTATCATGTAAGCACAGTGTAAAGGGAAAATGAATAGAACATTTCCTCTTAGAGTAACACTAAGTTCAAACAAACAAATCATTTTACTTTTTGAAAAGACAACTACAATACTAGTCCTTGTAAGAACAATAACTTCTAGTAGGATTTAAAGACATATTATCCTAAGAAATTTCAAGAACTTTAGTTATAACAAAGCAATGAGAAATTCTGCCTACCCATCTACCTCTCAAATTCATTCCAACCCCTGAAAATGGAAATTTGTACATGTAGACCAAATTATAGACTGCTAACAGTTTCTAAAAACTTTTATAGTTATTAAGAAAAAAATCATTCTGAAACACTAAAATTTAGGAATCTTTTTGGCTCATTATTAGAAAACACTAAGCAAAGCAGGGATTACAATCATGTTCTTATAAAAGATGTCATGAAGAATAAAATAAAGTTTTCTTTAAACACACTTAAAGCCAGGTGCAATGGCTCATGCCTGTAATCCCAACACTTTGGGAGGCTGAGATGGGCAGATCACTTGAGGTCAGGAGCTGAAGACCAGCCTGGCCAACATGGCAAAACCCCGCCTCTACTAAAACTACAAAAATTAGCCAGGTGTGGTGGTGCACACCTGTAATCCCAGCTACTCAGGAGGCTGAGGCAGAAGAATCACTTGAACTCAAGAGGTGGAGGTTGCAGTGAGCCAAGATCACACAGCCTGGGCGACAGAGTGAGACTGTGTCTCAAAAATAAGTAAATAAATAAGCACACTTAAAGAAAAAAAATGTGCTACTAGGACTAAATCTAGAGAAAAAACATTTTTTTTCAGACAGTCTCACTCTGTCACTAAGGCTGGAGTGTAGTGGCGTGATCACAGCTCATTGCAACCTTTATCTCCCTGGCTCAAGCAATCCTCCCATCTCAGTCTCCCAAGTAGCTGGGACTACAGAGACATGTGCCACCACACCTGGCTTTTTTCTTTTTTCTTTTAAGTAGAGACAAGGTCTCACTATGTTGATCAGGCTGGTCTGAAACTCCTGAGTGAAAGCAATCCTCCCGCCTTGGCCTCTCTAAGTGCTGGAATTACAGGCGTGAGCCACCATACCTGGCCAGAAGAATTTCTTGCAAGCAGTATGACATCAGAATGCCTTTCCATATCGATAATCATTATAGTAACATAAAAAAAATGACAAAGGTACAAGTTTCATTATCAACTCTGTAACTAAAAAGTGTTGGCCGGGTGTGGCGGCTCACCCCTGTAATCCCAGCACTTTGGGAGGCCGAGGCAGGTGGATCACTTGAGGTCAGGAGTTGGAGACCAGCCTGGCTAACATAGCGAAACCCCGTCTCTACTAAAAATACAAAAATTAGCCAGGCATGGTGGCATGCACCTGTGATCCCAGCTACTCGGGAGGCTGAGGCAGGAGAATCACTTGAACCTGGGGGGCAGAGGCTGCAGTGAGCCAAGATCGCGCCACTTCACTCCAGCCTAGGCAAAAGAGAGAAACTCTGTCAAAAAAAAAAAAAGAAAGAAAGAAAGAAAGGAAATACTGTTATATTCTTTTATATCACATTTTAAAAACATACATGGGCTGGGCACAGTGGCTCACGTGTGTAATCCCAGCACTTTCGGAGGCCGAGGCAGGTGAATCACGAGGTCAGGAATTTGAATTTGAGACCAGCCTGGCCAACATGGTAAAACCCCGTCTCTACAAAAAATACAAAAATTAGTTGGGCGTGGTGGCACGCACCTGTAATCCCAGCTACTCAGGAGGCTGAGGCAGAAGAATCGCTTGAACCCGGGAGGCGGAGGTTGCAGTAAGCCGAGATTGTGCCACTGCACTCCAGCCTGGGCAACAGAGCGAGACTGTCTCAAAAAGAAATTAAGTAAATAAATAAAGGAACATAAAAAACAAAAACAGACACAAATACAAGTATAAGAAAATGAAAAACCTATATCCTTACTCAAGTTGGCATGCTCCAAATTATCCTGAGGCCCCCCCCAAAAAAAAAAAAACCCACCAAAAAAAACAAACTAAAAAAACCCTGTTATGATTCCTTTCTTCTTCATTTCTTCGTCTTAGCAAAGACAACTACTCACCTACCTACTCGGCCAAGCCAGACACCTGAAAATCATCCCTGCACTCAGCCTTTCTCTGGCCTGATTTTACCCGGACTGATTTTACCTCCTTAGTAGCTCTTGAATTCATCCCTCTCCCCAACTATTCCAGTCCTACTATCCTGAGACATTTTTCTTTAAATTATTGCTTTAAACAATTTAGAGACATATTGGGATGGAGCTCCATAGAGGCAAAGAGACCAAAATACTCAAGTATAAGTGATACTCAAGTATTTTAGTCTCTTTACCTTTAACAGAGCTCCATCCCAATATGTTCTAAAACACAAATCTGACCATGTATCCACTCTGTTGAAAACCCTTCAATTGCTTCACACCACCTTCAAGACAAAGTTCAAATGCATGGTAAACACAGTCCTTCTTCCTCTGGCTTCTCTCACCAGTCCCCATTCACATGCTAACCTCCAGCTACCCTAAACTACTTACAGTTCTCCAAACAAAGCATGCCCTCTTTCAGAGCCTCTGTATATGTTCCTCCCTCTGCCTAGAAAGAAATATCGTTACCTGTGCATGTCTGGTTAAAGTCTACTCATCTTTAAAGAGTCAGCTCAGGAGTTAACCTCTTCAGGAAAGCTAGACTTTTTTTTTTTTTTTTTTTTTTTGACAAGCCCCTACCTGGCTTGGTTAGGTCCTTCCACTTCATATAATTCGGATTAATACCTTCTTCTTACTTCTATTATTGTATGCATCAACCTTATAGTAATTTCCTATTTCCTTAATGGTTGACTGTATCTTATTTGTTTAAATATACCCTTGCATCATAACACACTGCCTGTCATATATAGCATACTATAAATTTGAAGAATTGAAAGATAAAACAGACGCCCACCACAGTAGAGGCTATGTCACTAGGTAGGAAAAGTCTCAACATACAAGACCAAAGAACCATCGATGCTGGAAGAGACTGACAGTGTAATAGTCCAACCTCCCACTGACAAAGGAACCACTGACAACTTCCATTAAAAGAGGACATCCAACCTCTGTCTAAATAGATCTAGTACAAGTTTATTTGCTCTTTGGGCAGCTATTTATTGTTGTACCATTCTGTTGCCCAGTAAGAGAAAAGACTGAAAGTGTCAGCCAGTTTAGGGTCTAAGTATCTTGTCACTTTCTTTTTTAAAAAATGAATTTGGAAAAACGAAAACACATAATTATGATATCTTGCTTACTATTTCTTAATGAATAATTATCACTAGCCTGTAATTCTACCTACTCAGGAAGCTGAGGCACGAGAATCACTTGAACCCAGGAGGCAGAGGCTGCAGTGAGCTGAGATTGTGCCACTGCACTCCAGCCTGGGCAGCAGAGAATCTGCCTCAAAACAGTAATAATAATAACAATAAAGCATGTTAAGACTTTAGAGATAAAAATACATATAGCCATCACCCCAAACTCCACAATACACATATATACAGACTGACTTCATTAGAATAGTATTACTTTAAGAATTAAACCTTTATTTATAAAACAAAATAATTTTGCTTTGATATAGCAAGGATTGATTTAGCAAGGAACATCTTGATGAAAAAGGGCAGAATTGCTGAGGATGCTAGCCTACTTTTTACACTAGCTTTCCTCCTGCATCTGTCAAGTGTGGGATGAGAAAAAGGTGTTGGAATCTGGAGAGAGAGATTAGAATAAAAATATATTTGATTCCAAGAATGGGGAGGTGGTGGAGGCAATGGGGTAGGAGAGAGAAAAAATGCCACTGAAAAAATTACAGAAATAAGAAATAAGCTGTTAAAAACAGCTCTGCTTCCCTTTACTGACAAATAACTTGGCAAAATATTTACACATTATCTCTTCAATTCTTTAGTCCTCTCTTGTCTTGCTCCTCTCTTTTTCCCTCACCCCCGACTCTCCCCTTATCCAAGCCATCAACAAAAGACTTCTAAAATATATCTCAAAACTATCCACTGCACTTAATCTCCACCACCCATAGTCCAAGATAACTTTGCCTCTTACCTGGACTAGCATAAGCCACTAGTATTTATTTCTATGTCCTCTGTTGTCCCTCTCTCATCAACTATGTACAGATTAGCCACCGTAATCTTTAAAAATGTAAAATGGATCATGGCATTGCTTAATAGTTCCATGGCTTTCCAATGTATCTTCAAATAAAATCCAAACTCTCACTATTCAGTGAGTCAGTATGGCATAATAATTCACACTGCTCAAGAAGTGGTGCTTACAATAGTATCAGAACATCACAAATACACAGTACATGTTAGCATATAAAGGTATGGCCCCGGCTGGGCACGGTGGCTCATGCCTGTAATCCCAACAATTTGGGAGGCCGAGGCAGGTGGATCACCTGGGGTCAGGAGTTCGAGACCTGCCTGGCCAACAGGGTGAAACCCTGTCTCTACTAAAAATACAAAAAAATTAGCGAAGTGTGGTGGCGGGCACCTTGTAGCCCAGCTACTCGGGAGGCTGAGGCAGGAGTATCACTTGAACCCGGGAGGCAGAGGTTGTAGTGAGCTGAGATCACACCATTGCACTCCATCCTGGGTGACAAAGTGAGACTCCATCTCAAAACAAAACAAAAAAGGTATGGCCCCTGCATGTCTCTCTTGCCTTGAGGTGGCATTTTTCCCAACTAACTCTTTATGATCCTTTCAGTTAACTGCAAGCTCATTCTCACTCTAGGCCTGTTGTTTCCTTCTCTCTGAAATACTCTTCTCCCAGACCCTTCAACAGTACATTGGTCTCCCACTCATTCTTCACTCTCAACCTAAAAGTTGACGTCTTTTTCTACTTTCTAAATACCATCCTCTATAATTCTTTATTATACTACTCTTTTCATTTCCTTCACAATTTATTTTATTTTATTTTATTTGGAGACAGGGTCTATCTTATCTTTTATCTTATTTTATTTTATTTGGAGACAGGGTATCACTCTGTCACCCAGGCTGGAGTGCAGCAGCATAATCTCACTCACTGCAGCCTCAACCTCCCGGGCTCAAGCGATCCTCGCATCTCAGCCTCCCGAGTAGCTGGAACTATAGGTGCATGTCACCACACCCAGCTAATTGTTGTGTTTTTTTGTAGAGATGGGGTTTTGCCATGTTACCGAGGCTGGTTTTGAACTCCTGAGCTCAAGCGACATGCCTGCCTCAGCTTCCAAAAGTGCTGGGATTATAGGTGTGAACCACTGCACATGGCCTATAGTTTCTAATTACTTTGTTTCATTGCTTCAGCTCTTCCTTGATCATCAGATGCTTCAGCATCCATTCAATAAGTTATCTAACTTGCTAAAGGTAGAAAGCATTGGCTTCTGTCCTTTCTATCCAAAATAATCTTAACTAATGTAAATGTTAAGTATTCTCCTCCTTTGACCAAGAAGCTAATTGTTCACTAATATAAATATGTCAAAGCCTGTGCTATGATTATACATAGATTCTTCCTTTGATTTTTTTGATGTTTCAGAATTTCTTTTTTTTTTTAACTTTTATTTTCAGTTTGGGGGTACATGTGAAGGTTACATAGGTAAACACGTGTCATGGGGGTTTGTTGCACATATTATTTCAACACCCAGGTATTAAGCCCAGTACCCAGTAGTTATCTTTTCTGCTCCTCTCCCTCCTCCCACCCTCCCCACTCAAGTAGACCCCTGTGTCTGTTGTTTCCTTGTGTTCATAAGTTCTTATCATTTAGCTCCCATCAATTGTTAATTAAATAATATTCTGTATCCAACAAAGTATTGTGCTAGGTACTAGAAGAGCCAGGATGGAAATTTTTTTATTTTAAAATAACTTTATCAAGACCTCAAGGTCTTGAATGATATAAGAACACAATGAAAGAGACAGAAAAGGGGCATTTCAAACAGGGAATGAGGTAGGATGAAAAGTCATGCTATGTATGTAAATATATGTATTTCCTCAAAACGAATATACTACTGATGATAAGATGTACCACTATTTTATGTTCCACTGAAAAAGAAAAAATGGAGGCCAGGTGCGCTGGCTCACACCTGTAATCCCCACACTTTGGGAAGCCGAGGTGGGTGGATTGCTTGAGCCCATGAATTCGAGACCAGCCTGGACAACATGGCAAAATCCCATCTTTACAAAAAATACAAAAACTAGCCAGGCATGGTGCTGTGTGCCTGTGGTCCCAGCTACTTGGGGGGCTGGGGTGGGAGGGTCACTTTAGCCAAGGAGGAAGAGGCTACAGTGAGCCATTATCTTACCACTGCACTCCAGCCTAGGTGACAGAGTGATACCTTGTCTCAAAAAAAAAATGCTACCAAAATTGTTTAAGAATTGTTCATTTACTGTGAAATATCACAATAGTAAGATGTATCCCAATGGGAGACGATTCCCAGTTCCAGAGATGTTAAAGTGTGAGAGAAAGAGGGAAAAGAGGAGGAAAAGGGGGAGGAGGAGAAACAGAAGGTGAAAGAAAAAGAAAATTATCATCTAATTTTGTTCCTTTGAGATAGCATCTCACTCTTGTCACCCAGGCTGGAGTACAGTGGTGTGATCATGGCTCACTTCAGTTGTGACCTCCCAGACTAGGTGATCCTCCCACTTCAGCCTCCCAAGTAGCTAGGACTACAGGTGCGCACCACCATGCCCAGCTATTTTTTGTAGAGACGGGGTTTTGCCACACGTTACCCAAGCTGGTTTTGAACTCCTTGGGTCAAGTGACCCACATGCCTCGGCCTCCCAAAGTGCTGGGATTACAGGTGTGAGCTACTGCACCTGGCCTATCACTCTATTATAAATAGAAAATCAGCCTTCCAAGAACCTCAGCAAGTCTCAATGACATAGCATATTGGTTACTCATTAAAACTTGTTATCAAAAAGTGGAGAAAAGGCCACTGGAAAGAGTGATCATGGGCTGGGTGCAGTGGCTCATGCCTGTAATCCCAGTACTTTGGGAGGCTGAGGCAGGAGGATCGTTTGAGTCTAGGAGTTCAATACCAGCCTGGGCAACATAGTGAGACCCTGTCTCTATTAAAAAAAGAAAAATTTAAAATAAATAAAGCCGGGTGCAGTGGCTCATGCCTGTAATCCCAACACTTTGGGAGGCTGAGGCCGGTGGATCACCTGAGGTCAGAAGTTTGAGACCAGCCTGGCCTACATGGCAAAATCCCATCTCTATGAAAAATACAAAAAATTAGTCAGGCACATTGGTATGTGCCTGTAGTCCCAGCTACTCAGGAGACCGATACAGGAGAATCACTTGAGCCTGGGAGGTGGAGGTTGCAGTGAGCCAGATCATACCACTGCACTCCAGCCTGGACAACAGAGACCTTGTCTCAAAAAGAAAAAGAAGAAAAAAAAAAGCTCAGACAAAATGGTTCAATTCCTACAAAAAGACACTCTCTAAAAACTGACCTAACTAGAAACACAATCCTAAATGAAACCATTTAGAATACTGCATACCTGCCCGGCAAAATATTAAACCCATCACCCCGAAAAATACCATGCCCAGACAGTTGAACAGAAGTTCAACAAAACTTTCTTAAAAAGATCATTCTAGTCTTAAATAAATCTTTTCAGGGGGAAAAAAATAGTTTCTAACTCATTATTTGAGGCTGGCATAACCTGGATACCAAAACCAACTAAGGACAAGAAATTAAAATTATGGGCCAATTTCACCTGTGAATGAACATAGATGCAAAAATCGTTAACAGTCCAGGTGCAGTGGCTCATGCTTGTAATCCCAACACTTTGGGAGGCTGAGGTGGAAGGACTGCTTAAGCCCAGGAGTTCAAGTCCAGTTTGGGCAACATAGCAAGACCTCATCTCTACTAAAAATTTTAAAAGTAGACAGCCATGATGGTGCACCCCTGTAGTACCAGCTACTCAGAAGGCTGACGTGCGATGAAAACTTGAGCCCAGGAGTTCGAGGTTACAGTGAGCTAAGATCATACCATTGCACCGGACTGGGTGACAGAACAAGATCCCATCTCTTAAAAACAAAACAAATTAATAAACTAAATCCAACTGTATATTTTTTTCTAAAAAGTCCATCATGACAGAGTTGGATTTCAGCAATTCAACATTATAAATGTCATTCACCACATTAACAGAATAAAGGAGGAAAACTATGTGATCATCTTGTAAATGCAGAAAACATGTTTGATAAAATTCAATACTCGTTCTTCACACAAAAAATATCTTGGCCTACTAGGAAGAGAAATGCTTTTAACCTAGAAAAAGTTTCTATCAAAAATATATAGCAGGCCAGGCATGGTGGCTCAAGCCTGTGCCACCGTGCTGAGGTGGGCGGATAACTTGAGGCGGATAACCTGAGGTCAGGAGTTCGAGACCAGCCTGGCCAACATGGTGAAACCCCATCTCTACTAAAAGTACAAAAATTAGCCAGGCATGGTGATGCCCGCTTATAGTCCCAGCTACTCAGGAGGTTGAGGTGGGAAGATCACTTGAACCTGGGAAGCTGAGGTTGCAGTGGGCTGAGATTGCACCACTGCACTCCAGCCTGGGTGACAGAGCAAGACCCTGTCTCAAATAAATAAAAATTTTAAAAAAATAATAAAAATAAATACACATACATATATATATAGCAAACCTTAGTCATAATAGTGAAACAAAATAAGTACTTCCTTTAAAAAATTAAGTGCAACATAAGAATGCGCACTATTTTTTTTTAGACAGGGTCTTGCTCTGTTGTCCAGGCTACAGTGCAGTGGCACGATCATGACTCACTGCAGTCTCAACCTCCTGGGCTTAAAGCAATCCTTCCACTTCAGCCTCCTGAATAGCTGGGACTACAGGTATGTTGTACCTCCACACCTGCCTAGTTTTTATTTATTTATTTATTTTAGAGATGGGGTCTTGCTATGTTGCCCAGGCTGATCTCAAACTCCTGGGCTCAAGCAAAGGAATGCCTACTATTAACACTTGCACTGAATACTGTACTGAAAGTCCTAAATAACATAGTTAAGGCAAGAGAAAGAAATAAAGCATGGGAAAGAAACAAAACAGAAGATGCAAAGAAAACAAAGAGGAAAAATACACCATTCACAATAGTAACAAGAAATAAGGTCTCTTCTTTTTTCTTTAAGACAATCTCGCTGTGTCACCCAGGCTGGAGTGCAGTGGCGTGATCTCGGTTCACTGCAACCTCCACCTCCCAGGTTCAAGCAATTCTCGTGCCTCAGCCTGCTAAGTAGCTGGGATTACAGGCGTGTGCCACTATACACAGCTAATTTTTGTATTTTTTAGTAGAGATGGGGCTTCACCATGTTGGCTAGGCTGGTCTTGAACTCCTGGCCTCAAGTGATCTGCCCATCTCAGCCTCCCAAAGTGCTAAGATTACAGGCGTGAGCCATCATGCCTGGCCATCTTATTTTTCTTTATGGAAAAAAGAGAAAGCGAATTTACTGAAAAATATTTTAAATATCTAAATAACCAAAAAGATATTCTACGATCAAGGACAGTAAGTCTCAATACCATAAAAGAAGGAAATAAATTAAATGTATGTGTAGAATAAAAGCTATAGGCTGGGCATGGTAGTAATACCAGCACTTTGGGAGGCTGAGGTGGAAGGACTGCTCGAGCCTAAGAGTTTCAGACCAGCCTGGGCAACATAGCAAGACTCTGTCTCCATAAGAAAAAAATTAAAAATTAAAAAAATAAAGCTACAGAGCTCTGGGGTTCATACAAGGCAGGTCCCATTCTTTAAATAGCTTTTGAATTTTTGTATAATTTTGCTCAAATTATCTCCCATTCATGGATATTTATGCAACAGATATAAACTTACTATTAGTAAATAATCATAGATACCTTACTTTAATGAAATTGTAGTAATAGTTAATCAGCACTTTAGGATTCTGACAGCTACAATAAACAAGTATGAGAAAAGAATACATGATCAGTTCATGGCTGAGTTCTAGTTGAATGTGCTGTGGTCCCACTGGTTCAAAGGTCATTCAGTGTGCACATTCACCATAGTGAAAGTTCTAATAAGCACTCCTGCAAGTGATAAAACGCTGCCAACATTTTATGTAATACATGAGGTTTTGGTTCTTGGTAATTTTCTGTCAAGGCTGCCAAAACACCATCTCCTTAAAAGCTACCTGAAAATATGGACATTTATTCTAAATACAAATTGCATTCTGAAGGGGAAGGCAGACAAAACACATTCATAATGCAATGACCATGTTAGGCTCAATGGGTACTTCTAGTGGTCCTATGTATGGCCCTTATATATGTAAGGCTCTTGTACATGTGAGATCTACAAGCAGTTGCCCAATTTGCTTTACAATAGACCTGAATTTGAAAGAATGAATGATATTCTTTAGATCTAACTTATTCAAGTTTAATTTTGGTTTATGTAAGTTTTGTCATACCCTACATTGCTGCCTAAACGTTGCTTTATCCATATTTCCTAATACAGAATTAGATATTATGATAATTTTCTTTACTGGTTGCTAGGAGATGATAATACTAATCACTGCCATTCACTGAATGCTTACTGTGTGCCAGGCATTGTTGTAAATGCTTTGTATGTATTAAATCATTCAATCTTTACAATAACCCTGTCAGGTGGATAATATTACCATCACAATTTTACAGATAGGAAAACTGATGTATGGAAAAGTTAAGTAACTTTCCCAATGTCACACAACAAGTAAATGAAGAGGCTAAAGGATTCATACCCAAGTAGTCTGTCTCCAGAGACTAGACCCTTAAATACCATTTATACTGCTTTTCACAATATTGAAAAGATATGTGAAATTATTATAAAGGACAAAAACACTCAGCATTAAAAATATTATCAGTAATTGTTAAACAACAGTTAAGCAATATTAATACTAACACAACTTATCACAGGTTGATACTTCACAGCTATTTCAGATTCATGGTTATGATTAAGAGTTTTGAAGTTGGACAGACCTGGCTCTGAATCTTGGCTGTGCCCTTTACAAGTTGTGTGATTTTGGACAAGTTTCGTAACTTCACCAAGCCTCAGTTTCCTCATCTGTAAAATGAGAATAATAAACATCTCACAAAATTGTTGTAACATAATTATTGCTGCATTGCGCTGAAATAGTAACTCCAAACAAAACACACACAAAATAAAGAGGTCCCAATTTTCCCCATAAAACAAGACTTTATTATAATGATATACTGAAGATGATCACTCCAAGTTACTCCAGTAACTGTAAGATCCACACACTAATGTAGAACCACAATTTTCTCTAATACGTGACAAATAATTCCCCTATATAAAACTCAAATATCTACAGGTAAATTATTCAATCTTTGAAATAAAATACTATATATATATATATATACACACACACACACACACACACACACATATATACATATATATATATATATATAGAGAGAGAGAGAGAGAGAGAGAGAGACAAATAGGATATTGTTATTTATTGAGAGCAACTCCCACAAATCCCATTCTACACATATCCCTAGTAAGACCAGTAATTAGCATTCAAGGGGCCCAAAACAGGAAGAGCTGTGTCAAGAAGGATCAATTTGGGCCATGCCTGTAATCCCAGCACTTCGGGAGGCCTCGGCAGGACAATCACTTGAGCCCAGGGGTTCAAGACCAAGCTGAGCAACATAGGGAAACCTCGCCTCTACAAAAAACTTTAAAAATTAGCCAGGTATGGTGACATGCACCTGTGGTCCCAACTACTCCGGAGGCTGAGACAGAAGGATAGGTTGAGCCTGGGAGGTCAAGGCTGCAGCGAGCTGTGATCACGCCACTGCACTCCAGCCTGGACAACAGAGTGAGACCCTGTTTCAAAAAAAAAAAAAAAAAAGATGGATTCGTGTGGTACTGATAGGAAGGAATATTTACGAGAAATAAACAGAAAGAGACAGACATATTGTCAAAGCTGTAGGGAAAATGAACCCCAGAGATCACTGGAATATAAGGGAAACTTCTTCAAAACACTCTAGAGAATCTCCATGTTTAATCCCACAGTCCTATATTTATTTCCATTTTCACAAGAACTTAAACAAAAAATTCCATTTATTTTCTTGTAGCAAACAGTAGTTTCTGCAAAGTGTTTAAAAAAAAAAAAAAGTTGGCTTGGAATTTGTTTTGCATATTTATTTCTGTCCCCAAAGAAAATATGTGGCTGGCAAGAGGGTAAATATTGTAGAATGACAGTTACAGAACTGGGATTTGGCTTTCAAAAACGGAAAGTGGTCACAGAGTATCTATTCAGCTATATATTAAATATTTGATGTACAAAGAAAATTACACAAGCAAAATTAAACTATGAAATGGTATTCAAGGTTAGAAACACAGCAATTCGGGCCGGGCACAGTGGCTCACGCCTGTTAATCCCAGCACTTTGGGAGGCCGAGGCAAGTGGATCGCCTGAGGTCAGGAGTTTTGAGACCAGCCTGGCCAACACAGCGAAACCTTGTCTCTACTAAAAATACAAAAAATTAGCCAGGCATGGTGACAGGTGACTGTAATCAATCCCAGCTACTCGGGAGGCTGAGGCAGGAGAATCACTTGAACCTGGGAGGCGGAGGTTACAGTGAGCCGAGATCGCGCCATTGCACTCCAGCCTGGGCAACAAGAGCAAGACTCCGTCTCCAAAAAAAAACAAAAAAAAAATTGAAAAGAAACACAGCAATTGGGATAAACTATTGATAGAGAACCTACTGTGTGTAATATAGTCACAATACTCAGTATTAAGAGGAGTACAGAAAATTACTGACATAATCTCTAAGCTCTAGGTTCTCATAATCAAGAAAAGGAATATTAAAAGCCTGTATGACAAAATACAGCAAATGGTTTAAGAGAGGCACAAATTGCAACATTTCTTAAGAGGGGGATGAGATCACTGACTTGAGAGAAGAAACAAGAAAAGACTTCATGGAAACTGCAGCATTTGAAAAGTGGAATTCCAACAACTCTAACTTCTGAATATAAAAACAACTTAAACTAAAAAGTTTTCCTTCTGTTAGTATGGAGGTATATATTGCCTCTCAGATGTCACTAAAATGGAAGGTGGCTAATAAAAATGTACTAAATAAACCTAATAGAACATTTTCTTTTTTTTTTTTTTTGAGACGGTGTCTCACACTGTCGCCCAGGCTGGAGTGCAATGGCACGATCTCAGCTCACTGCAACCTTTGCCTCCTGGGTTCAAGTGATTCTCCTGCCTCGGCCTCCTGAGTAGCTGGGATTACAGGTGCTCGCCACCACACCCAGCTAATTTTTTGTATTTTTAGTAGAGACAGGGTTTCACCATGTTGGCCAGGCTGGTCTCGAACTCCTGACCTCGTGATCCACCTGCCTCAGCCTCCCAAAGTGTTGGGATTACAGGCGTGAGCCACCGCGCCTGGCCCTAGAACATTTTCAAAAAGAAATTTGACAATAATAGCCATATCTTCAATTGCCATTTACCTTCAAACACTGTACTTAGAATTTTTCACTAAGAAATTTGGCAAATTAAAAAAGACTTAAAATAAGACTATTCACTCATTCACTCATTAATACTTCATAAAGTGAAAAAGTATAACTGGACACAAAAATTAACTCTAAGAATTAAGGCAGTAAGACACAAAGGGATGTGAAATGAGTTACATACAGCTGACTAACAAAAGGAAGCCTAATTTTTTGTCCACATCTCTTCCCACCTCCAAAAGAGGAACTTAACAAATGCATTTTATGAGAAACACACTTAAAAGTGTCCTTAGTAACAGATTTACATATGATACAAAAATCCTTTTAAAAATAGTTTATTAAGGTATGACATATGTAGAAAGAAGCATACAAAGTGTAGAGCTCAATTACTTTTCACAAAGAAACACATATAATTAGAATCCAGATCAAAAACAGAACATTAGTAGCATCCTAGAAGCTCCTCTATGTTCCTGCTTCCAGTCACTTCCTGTTCCCCTACCAAAGATACCACTATCTTAATTAACTTCTAATATCATGATGTGTTTTGCTTATATTGAATTTTATTAAAAAGAATCATACAATATTATCCTTTTGTTGTTTGGTTTCTTTCACTCAATATTGTCTATGAAATTCATCCATACTCTTGTGCTTGCAGTTTGCTATGATTTGAATGTTTGTCTCTTCCAAAAACTCATGTTGAAATCTAATTGTTATTGTAATGGTAGTGGGGGGGGTGGGACCATTAAGAGATAATTAGACCATGAGGGCTCTGCCCACATGAGTAGGATTAATGGATTAACACCAATATAAAAGGGTACAACTGTCTAGAACAAAGGCCATCTAATTTTTACAAAGTGCCCCTTCCTAAGAAAACTTACTAAATAAGAAATGTTTAGGAAATCTTTGAACTACCTATTTTAAAAATATTTAAAGCAAATAAATATAGAACATGAGGTGCTTGAGGTTACTATGCAATGACAGAACAACAAACAAAAAAGTCAGTTTCTTCTCGCCAGGCGTGGTGGCTCACGCTTGTAATCCCAGCACTTTGGGAGGCCGAGGTGGGTGGAGCACCTAAGGTCGGGAGTTCGAGACCAGCCTGACCAACATGGAGAAACCCCGTCTCTACTAAAAATACAAAAATTAGCCGGGCGTGATGGCACATGCCTGTAATCCCAGCTACTCAGGAGGCTGAGGCAGGAGAATTGCTTGAACCCAGGAGGCGGAGGTTGCGATGAGCCGAGATTGTGCCACTGCACTCCGGCCTGGGTAACAAGAGTGAAACTCCGCCTCAAAAAGAAAAAAAAAAAAAATCAGGTTCTTCTCTGTATGCCAACAATTTGAAATTTTTCTGCATGATCAGCATTTCCTTTGCTACTTTACTTTCTTTAAATAATTTTTTGTCATTTCTGTGAATTCTATAAATGAAGTCAAATTGGATTACAACTAAGATACATGAAAAAATGTTAGGTAAATTTTTAACTTTATATAATTTCAAATTTAAAGAAAATTTGCAAAGATCATCAATTATTTACATTTCATCTGATTTGCTTTATCATTCTCTTTCTCGTTCATTTTTTCTTGAGATGGGGTCTCACTATGTTGCCCAGGCTGATCTTGAACTCCTGGACTCCCATTCTCGGCCTCCCAAAGTGCTGGGATTACAGGCGTGAGCCCGCATCAGGTCCATCTCATACATTTTTTTCTGAACCATATGAGAGTAAGCTGCAAACACACTATATACCATTTTAGTCCTAAATATTTTTGTATGTTCTCCTAGGAACAAGAATATTTGCTTAGATAACCATAATATAGCTAAGCAAATCAGTACCAATGTTAAATTTACTATATAACAGCCGGGCTCAGTGGCTCACGCCTGTAATCTCAGCACTTTGGGAGACCCGAGGTGGGTGGATCACAAGGTCAGGAGATCGAGATCATCCTGGCCAACATGGTGAAACCCCTTCTCTACTAAAATACAAAAAATTAGCCAGGCGTGGTGGTGCATGCCTGCAATCCCAGCTACTCAGGAGGCTGAGGCAGAGGAATCACTTAAACCCGGGAGGTGGAGCTTGCAGTGAGCCGAGATTGCGCCACTGCACTCCAGCCTGGAGAAAGAGCAAGACTCCATCTCAAAAAAAAAAAACTTACTATATGTCTACAGTCCATATTGAAATATGTTCTTAGTTATGTGTGTTAATTGTTACAGGGTGTTATGACTTGAATAGGTCCCCCCCAAAATTCAAGTGTTACCAATGTTACAGTATTAAGAGGTGGAGCACTTAAGGAGTGATTAGGCCAGGAGGGCTACTCCCTCCTGAATGGGATTAAGGCTTCGTGCAGCTTCAGCTAGCTTGCTTTTCCACTTTTTGGCCATGTGAAGACACTGTGTTCCTCTTCTCCGGAACAGACAACTGGACCTGCCAGTACCTTGATCTTGGACTTTCCAGCCACCAGAACTGTGAGAAAATAAAATTCTGGTTTTTATAAATTACCCAGTCTCAGGTATTCTGTTACAGCAGCACAAATGGGTTAAGAAAGAGGAGAAGTGACCAGGCTCAGTGGCTCACGTCTGTAATCCCAGGACTTTGGAAGGCAGGCGTGGGAGGATCACTTGAGGTCAGGAGCTGAAGACCAGCCTGGCCAACATGGTAAAAACCATGTTTCCACTAAAAATACAAAATTTAGCCAGGCATGGTGGCAGGAGCCTGTAATCTCAACTACTTGGGAAGCTGAGGCAGGAGAATCACTTGAACTTGGGAGGTGGAGGGTGCAGTGACCCAAGATCATGCCACTGCACTCCAGCCTGGGTGACAGAGCAATACTCCATCTCAAAAAAAAAGAGGTGAAGTAATTGCTTCTAGGTCCTCTTAGCAAACAAAGTTGGAATATATATATATTTCTTTTATATATATATATATATATATATATATATATAACCTTTTATATATATATATATAACCTTTTATATATATATATATAAATGTGTATGTCAGTGTATACGCATACACACATATATGTGCCTATATATGTATATCTATATGAAAATATACATATATGTGTATTTATATTTATACAGATATTTAATATTTAAATATAGATTAATATTATTGCATAGATATGAATAGATATTAAAAACCACAACTTCCAATTCAAATCCAACATCACAGGGTTTATTTCAGCCTTTTCTCTTTTCCATATATAAAACTCCTTTCTCCAACAATGAAAAAACTTGACTCCCATTATCCTCAATACACTTACTCATTTGTTCAGTCCTAGAACTGACAAAAAACAGTTTCAAAATTGCTAATTCATACCACTACAAAAGAAAAGCCTAGAAACTAGGATTCACTATTGTTCATATTTCAATATTCATTTCATTATATTCATTGTATTATATATCTTCAATATGTTATATTCATTTCATTATATTTCATTATTCATCACTGTTTATATATTCATTACTGTTTATATTTCTGTTCACCTTGAGTTTAAGAGTATACCATTTCACTTATCTTTAAGTGGAGGTGAAATACAGTTAGGTTCATCTGATTCTGTTTATACTTTTAGGGTTTTATCCCTATCCTTATTGATTTTTTGTTTTTCATAAAACATTAGCATGACATTCTCAACTGATGTCATAAAAATTGTAACCAGGATTCTCTCTCTCACTGACGTTGGAATAGAGCTTTACAATTTAGGAAGTATATTTCCCATAAAAAATGAACCTTTCCATAGCCACTGCAAGCATCTACCAACACCCCACCCAGGCCCAGCTGTTTCCTAGGAATCACTGTCTTTGGGTAATACAGAAAGAAGGGATAAAATGAAATGGGTGAACCCTATTTCAGCAACCTCATAGATCATTACTTGTAAGGTAGCTTCAAACTGTGCTCCCTGTAGTGATGCCACAAGGTGCAAGGGCAGGACCCAGTAGGTAGAATTATAAGTCCCTGCCCTGTCTTCAGTTAAAGCTGCTATGCTTTTACTAGTATAATATATTGGGCTTTAGCCTCAGATTTTGTTCATTCAACTCACAAATATTTATTGAGTGTCTATGCTTGCCAGGCACTGTTCTTGGTGCTTAGGATACTTCAGTGAACAAATCCATCATGGGACTTACATTCTAGTTGTGTGGGAGACAAACAATAAACATAAGTAAATTATATAGCTAGTTATAAAACCTTAAAGCTGTAGAAAAATTTTGAACAAGGTAAAGGAGTTTAGAAATAGGGTCAGGAAGAAGAAACATAATTTGCAGTATCAGAATGTTTGAGTTAGGCCTCACTGAGAAAGGAAAGCTTCCTTTTTTTTTTTTTTTTTTTTAAAGACAGGGTCTTACTCTGTCACCTAGGATGCAGTGCAGGATCACAGCTCACTGTAACCTCGAACTCCTTGGGCTCAACAGATCTTCCCACCTCAGCCTCCCAAGTAGCTAGAACTACAGATGCACACCACCATGCTTAGCTAATTTTTTTTCTTTTTTGAAATGGAATTTTGCTCTTGTTGTCCAGGCTGGAGTGCAACAGTGTGATCTCGGCTCACTTCAACTTCCACCTCCCGGGTTCAAGCGATTCTCCAGCCTCAGCTTCCCTAGTAGCTGGGATTACAGGCATGCACCACCACGCCAGGCTAATTTTTGTATTTTTAGTAGATACGGGGTTTCACCATTGTTGGTCAGGCTGGTCTCGAACCCCTGACCTTAGGTGATCCGCCCACCTTGGCCTCCCAAAGTGCTGGGATTATAGGCGTGAGCCACCACGCCCAGCCGCTCAGCTAATTTTTTTTTAAAAATGTTCGTAGAGAATTTTCTCTCTACAATGTTGTCCAGGTTGGTCTCAAACTCCTGGCCTCATGCAGTCCTCCCACCTTGGCCTTTTTAAAGCACTGGGATTACAGGTGTGAGCTACTGCGCCTGGCCAAAAGCTTCCTTTTGTATATTTTATTAGGCTTGAAAGTCACTGGCAAAGAAGAATTAGCTGCCCAATTTTCCAGCTGGTGCCAACCCTGTGTCTACAGGTCCAAGGATAGCCCACAGGAAAGAAAGACATAAAATATTTTCCTTCCTTCTTTCAGAGAACCTTGTGCCAAAATCTGGGAATGGTGGTTCTTTCTCTGTCCAGATCCTTCTATTTCATAAGTAATTGAATATTTCTCCTAGATTCTGGCAAAGGGTTTTCCACCCATCTCAATTTCAGAAATATTAAATGTTTATTTTCCTTCTAATTATTATAGTGGGAGATTGGCATAGGCAACATCAGAACTGCTAACCAAATACTTTTTTAGGAAACTTTTTTTTAGCCCTTTAAGTTACATTAACTTTTTTTTTTTTTTTTTTTTTGAGACAGAGTCTCTCTCTTGTCGCCCAGGCTGGAGTCCAACATGATCTCAGCTCACTGCAACCTCCACCTTCTGGATTCAAGCGATTCTCCTGCCTCAGCCTCCTGAATAGCTGGGATTACAGGCGCCCACCACCATGCCCAGCTAATTTTTGCATTTTTAGTAGCGATGATGTTTCACCATGTTGGCCAGGCTGGTCTCGAACTCCTGACCTCAGCTGATCTGCCCGCTTCGGACACCCAAAGTGCGTGAGCCACTGCGCCTGGCCTAGAAACCTTGTTCTTCTAACCTTTAAGTTATTTGCTAAGGTGTTGCCTCTGGCTTCAAGAGATTATAAATGACTTGTCAGCCTGGCCTATATTAACTTTTATCCTATTCAAGTCACACTATCATTTCCTTGACTTTACAATCAACAAAAGACTAAGATATCTAGTCTTTCTTAGTTGTCCTAAATCATATCAGTCAAGTCCTAAAAAATTGAGTTTGTTTGCACCCAAGTACAGAATTTTATAATAATCACAGATAACATTTCATCGTCCCTTACTATGTGCCAGCTATTAAGAGACTTATGTTTATTACTTCTTTTATATTTTACAACAATCCCCATTTTATGGATGAAGAAACTGAGACATAAAGAGATTAAGTAACTTGTTCAAGGTAACATAGCCTCTAAGTAGCAGAGCTGGAATCAAAATCCCAGGTAATGTGTGTCATTAACTATGCATATTAAACTGATTCTCAAAAAATCTTTATATAATGCATATTAAATTCCATATTGCTATGCCAAATCCAGCCTGTAGAAAAAAAATGAGACTTCAATTCTATCATACAACATATATGCCATTTTTCAAAGTTTTAACTGAGTATTTGATCAGCATGCCATGAAGGGATGCAACCAAGCTATTAATAAAAAATGTGACCAGAAATATTAGCAAATTGAAAACAGAACATATAAAAAGAATTATACACCATGACCAAGTCCAGTTTATCTCAGGTATGCAAGGCTGGTTTCACATGTGGAAGTCAATTAATATAATCCATCATATTAACAGGCTAAAAAACAAAAATCACATGATCATCTCCATAAATGCAGAAAAAGCATTTAACAAAATCCAGCATCCATTCATGATAAAAATTTTATACAAACTAGGAACACAAAGATTCTTCCTCAACAAGACAAAGCATGTCCATTTTTAAAACCCTACAGCTACATCACACTTAATGGTGAGAAACTAGAAGCCTTCCCATTAAGATCAAGAACAAGAAAAGGATGTCTCCTCCCATCATTCCTTTTCAACGTCATACTGGAAGTCCTAATGCAATATGACAAAAAAAGGAAATAAAACTTAGACTGGAAAGTTAGAAAGAAAACTGTTTTTGTTCACAAATGACAAGACTTCCCATGTAGAAAACCTGAAAGAATCAATGAAAAAACTTCCAGAATTAATAAGCAATTATAGCAAGGTTACAGGACACAAGGTTAATATATAAAAGTCAATCACTTTCCTATATACCAGTAATAAACAATCTGAATTTGAAATTAAAACATAATACCATTTTCATTAGCACCCTCCAAAAATGACTTAAGTATAAGTCTAATCAAATATTTTCAAAATCTACACAAGAAAAATGAAAAAACTGATTAAAGAAATCTAAATAAATGGAGAGACATTCCATGTTCATGAATAGGCAGACTCAATACTGTCAAAATGTCAGGTCTTCCCAACTTGGTCAAAATCCCGACAAGTTATTTTGTGGATACTGACAAACTCATTCTAAAGTTTATATGGAAAAAAAAAAAACAAGTAAAAATAAAAATAAACTTTATAAAGAGAAGCAAAAGACCCAGAATAGCCAACTCAATATGCTACTCAATTTCAAAACTGACTTACTATAAAGCCACAGTAATCAAGACAGTATGGTATTTCAAAAATACAGACAAATAGATCAATGGAACTCAGAAACAGACCCACATAAACACAGTCAACTGGAGCTGAGTATGGTGAGTGTGCCTGGCATGCCAGATACTCAGGAGACTGAAGTGGGAAGACTGCTTGAGTCCAGGAGTTTGAGATTACAGTGTGCTATAACTGTGCCTGTGAATCCACAGCACTCCAGCCTAGACAACATGGTGAGACTCCCATCTCTATAAATAAAAATATTTATTTAGTTAGTTATTGTCAACTGATCTTTGACAAAAGAGCAAAGCCAACACAATGGTGAAAAGACAGTCTTTTTCAACAAATGGTGCTGTAGTAACTGGACACCCAAATGAAAAAGAAAAAAGAAAAGGTAAGAAAAAGAACTTAGATATAGACCTTAACATCCTTCACTAAAATTAACTCAAAATGGATCACAGACCTAAATGTAAAATGTAAAACTATAAAGCTCCTGGAAGATAACATAGGATAACATCTAGATGACTTTGGGTAAGGCAATGACTTTTAAAATATACACCAAAGGCACAACCCATTAAAGAAATAATTAATAAGCTGGACTTCATTAAAATTTAAAATTTCTTCTCTACTAAAGACACAGTCAAGAGAATGAGAAGACAGGCAACAGACTGGGAGAAAGTATTTGCAGAAAACATGTCTGATAAAGGACTATTATCCAGGCTGGGTATAGTGGGTCATGCCTGTAATCCAGCACTTTCGGAGGCCAAGGGGGGCAGGCAGATCACTTGAGGTCCAGAGTTCGAGACCAGCCTGGCCAACATGATGAAACCCATCTCTACTAAAAATACAAAAATTAGCTGGGCTTGGTAGTACATGCTTGTAATCCCAACTACTTGGGAGGCTGAGGCAGAAGAATCACTTGAACCCTGGAGGTGGAGGTTGCAGTGAGCCGAGATCATGCCATTACACTCCAGCCTGGGTGACAGAGACTCCGTCTCAAACAAACAAACAAACAACAACAACAACAAACTATTATCCAAAATATAGGGCCGGGCATGGTGGCTCACGCCTGTAATCCCAGCACTTTGGGAGGCCAAGGCGGGCAGATCACCTGAGGTCAGGAGTTCGAGACCAGCCTAGCCCACATGGCGAAACCCTGTCTCTACCAAAAATACAAAAATTAGCCAGGTGTGTTGGCGGGTACCTGTAATCCCAGCTACTTGGGAAGCTGTGGCAGGAGATTTGCTTGAACTCAGGAGGTGGAGGCTACAGTGAGCTGAGATTGCGCCACTGCCACCAGCCTGGAGATAGATATATATACACACACATGCATACATATAGATATATATATACACATACACACACACACACACACACACACATACACACACACACACACATACCAAAAAACTTAAAACTTAACAGTAAGAAAACTAACAACCTGATTTAAAAATCGGCAAAGACTTGAACATATTTCACTAAAGAAGAAATACAGATGGTAAATAAGCATATGAAAAGAAATTATCATATGTCATGAGGGAACTGCAAATTAAAACAACCAGATACCATTACACACCCACTAGAATGGTCAAAATCCAAAACACTGACCACACCAAATTCTGAGAAGCAGTTCCAGCAACAGGAATCCCTCATTCATTGTTGATGGGAATGCAAAATGGCACAGCCACTTTAGAAAAGTTTGGCAGTTGCTTACAAAACTGCACATACTCTTCACATACAATCCAGCAATTACATTACTTGGTATTTATCCAAATGAGTGGAAAACTTATGTCCACACAAAAGCCTGCACACAGTTGTTCACAACAGCTTTATTCATAATTGCCAAAACTTAGAAGCAACCAAGATGTCCTTCAGCAGGTGAATAGATAAACAAACTGTGGTACATTCAAAAAGTGGAATATTATTCAGTGCTAAAAAACAAATAAGACTTCAAGCTATGAAAAGACATGGAGGAACCTTAAATGCATATTACTAAGTGAAAAAAGCCAATCTGAAAAGGCTACATACTGTATGACCCCAACTACATGACATTTTGGAAAATGTCACACTATGGAGACAGTAAAAGGACCTGTAACTGCCAGGGGTAAGGGGTCTGGGAAAGATAAACAGGCAGAGCACAGATTTTTAGGGCAGTGAAATTATTCTGTACTATACTATAATGGCAGACCATGTCATTACATATTTGTCCAAATCCAGGGAATGTACACTACCAAGAGTTATCCCTAAAGTAAACTATGGACTTTGGGTAATAAAGATGTGTGCTGGAAGTTGATAGTGGGGAGGTTGTGCCTATATTGGGGCAGAAGAAATATGGGAACTCTCTGTACTTTCTGCTCAATTTTGCTGTGAACCTAAAACTCCTCTTAAAAATAAAGTCTATTTTCTTAAAAATTGCCACCAGATTCAAAGAGGCGGCTAAAAAGACCTCTCCATGATCAAGGAGCAATGGAACCATATACATTTGCCCTTTATATATGGCATTTTACCCAATTAACTCAACTACCTGAACTATCAAGCAACTCACATTTCTAAATCTTATCAAAAATCATTTCTCAAAAAACTAGTACTTCCTCCTCCTTCATCAGGGGAAAGCACGTAAGTGTTGCTTTTTAATTTAATTTAAAAATGATTTTTAATGAACTTTGTAAAAAAAATTATTACTTGAACCAGAAAACATGTTCATTCATTCAACAAATTATGTATTGACAACTAATTACAAGATAAGTATTCTTCTATAGAGATATAGCAGAGAATGAAACAAACCCTCTACCCTCACGGTAGTTGCACTTTATTTGGAGAGACTGTCAAAATAATGAAGAAACAAATACATAATATGTTGAGACATATAAAGAAAAATCAAGTAGGATTGGAGAAAAGAAAGTGTTGGGATTGGGGAACAGGGTAGAAAGGAGGCGGCTCTTCTAAATAAATAGTTAAGAGACGGCTTCATTTGTTAGGTTATATTTGAGCAAACAGATCTAAAGGCAGTTGAGTAGTAAGAGGGCAAGCCCAAGTACATAGGTGGAAGAGAGCACTCCAGGTGGAAGGAACAAGTGTACAGGTCCTGAGGCAAGTGTACAAGTCCTTTAGATGGAAGTTGCAGTGTTAGAGGAATAACAAGGAGATGATGTGGGTACAATATACTAAGTGAAGGGAGGCGAGGAAATGAGGTTGGAAAGAAAGCCGAATGTTTCAGAAAGTTTCAGAGGCCATTCCAAGTACTTGGGCTTCTGTTCCTAATAAGGTAAAAGCTACTAAAGGGTTCTGAGAGTAGGAATAACGAGATTTATGTTTTTTAAGAATCACCTTGGTTATTGTATTATAAATAGATCATAAAACAGGGAACCAGTTAGAAAACTATTAAATTAATCCAGATGAGAGGTGACAATAGCTTGGACCAGAGTGACAACAGTAGAGGTATGTCAGGGAGATGGTCCACTTCCTGTTTGCGCCCCCAGCTCCAGGAGAAACCGCATCTGAAGCCTAGCTGCAACAGAAATTGCCAAATGAGTAGGTTTACAATAATCCACAGTCATTTTCCAAGACCTCTGCACATGGTAGGATTCTGGACGTTATCTTATGGGTAGAACTAACAGGATTTTGTTAATGAATTGGAAATACAGAGTGAGAGTGAAAGATGACTCTAAGATTGCTGACCTGAGCAATCGGAAGAATGGAGTTGCCATTTATTGTGAGATGCAGCAGACAGAAGGAGGAGCAGGTTGAAGGGAACAAATCAAAAGTTTGTTAGCCTGATAAAATGTAAAGGTTTATGACTGAGATAGTTACATGTCACACTAAATTTTTTTAATGACAAGCTAGTTCCTACTCTAGCACACATGTCACTTTCATCATTAAATAGTCTTAACCCCCAACTCTGAATGTAGTAACTCTTCCCTCTGAATCACCAATTTTTTTCATTTCTTATACTATTTGTTATATTGTAACTATTGGTGTATGCCATGATCCCATAGATCTTAGGTACCCTGAAAGTAGAATTTGTGTTTTATAGTTGTATGATAATACTAATAAGCACCACCACTGATTGGGCACATTCATCAATTAGTTTTTTTTTTTTTTTTTTGAGACAGAGTCTTGTTCTGTCACCCAGGCTGGAGTGCTGTGGCACGATCTCCGCTCACTGCAACCACCACCTCCCAGGTTCAAGCAATTCTCCTGCTTCAACCTCCCAAGTAGCTGGGATTACAGGTGCGTGCTACCACACCCAGCTAATTTTTGTATTTAGTAGAGACGTGGTTTCACCATGTTGACCAGGCTGGTCTCAAACTCCTAACCTCAAGTGATCTGCCCACCTCAGCCTCCCAAAGTGCTGGGATTACAGGCATGAGCCACTGCACCCGACCTCAATTAGTTCTTTTAATTCTTCTATTATCACTTTTATTGTTAGTATTTAACCAGCAAGAAAATTCAGGTTCAGAGATATTAAATAACTGCTCCAAAGAAACACAGTTAATAAGACAACTAATACTTAAACTCAGGTTTGTCTAAATCTAAAGGCAGCATTCCACATTGTCTTTAATCAACCTCGGTACCTAATTTAGAACCTTGTCTATGAAAGGTACCTAATATATTTCTATACAATAAATAACTAGATAAATCTCTCTGTCTTGGGACAGAAAACACTGAAGAGAAGGTATATTAGAGTCAGACCAATGATCAGAACAGAATTGGAAGAAAAAGAAAAAAAAAAGGTAAGAAAATCCTTAATATGGCTTATAAAGCTTGAAACGATTTAGCCCTTGCCCATCAGACCAAGCTTCTTTGATGCTTTAAACCTGCCATGCTTCTTTTCCCTTCAAGGTCTCTAAGCCATACATAGTTCTAACAACCCATTATTTTTCCCTAAGTTAATTCTACTCATCCTCAGAGCTCTGCTCAAATATTACTTCCTCAAAGTAGCTGTCCTTGACCATCCCCCACTCTAACTAAGCCAGCTACCACTATAAGAAGTTCATAACACTCTGTACATCTCCTTATCACAATTTTAAATAAAGGCACCTTTCCTCCCTACAAGAATATAAGCTGCATGAAGGCAGAATCCTCATATGTTTGCCTTACTGCAGTGATTAAAATATGCTTAAAATTGTTTAATACTGTTTTATTATAAATTAATATTGTTTAAAAATGAATAAATAGTAATAAATAATTATAAGTAATTAATAAAAACAAATAAATAATGCAAGTAAGAGAAGACAGGCCAAAATACCAGAGAAAAATAAAATGCAGAGTTAAGCTTGACATTCTCCACTGCTTTGTTTCTGCTGGGGCAACCAGCTTCAAACCAGAGCTTTTGGAAACCTCACAGCGACAGAAATTACAGTTCACAGCTACCAAGACAGGCAGATTTGTGGCGCTAAAATCCCAGAAAAAAAGCAATCACAGAAAAGACAGCCTGGACATGCTATATTGCTTTTGCCCTTGGGGTATTTACTGAATCCCAACATGCGGAGGCAAAGTGCCTTTTTAAAATTATTATTATTTTTTGAGATGGAGTTTTGCTCTTGTTGCCCAGGCTGGAGTGCAATGGCACGATCTTGGCTCACTGCAACCTCCGCCTCCTGGGTTCGAGTGATTCTCCTGCCTCAGCCTCCTGAGCAGCTGGGATTACAGGCGCATGCCATCATGCCTGGCTAATTTTTGTATTTTTAGTAGAGACAGGGTTTTACCATGTTGGCCAGGCTGGTCTTGAACTCCTGACCTCAGGTGATCCACCTGCCTCAGCCTCCCAAAGTGCCACTGCGCCCAGCCAAAGTGCCTATTTTTATAGCAAAAAAAAAAAAAAGTAAGCAGAACTTTAGGTAGTCTCACAGAAAAATTAAGAGTCCAGGGCCTGACAAGAAGGAGAGGCCCTGACACATACCCTAGGTACCTCTGGTACCTCTGAAATACAATACTCTTGAAGTGGAAACTAGATTTAAACCAGCCCTTGAGAACCATAAAACAAAGCCTCAGATCATCTCAAGTCCATATTACAACAATGTCATCTACTCCTACTTTTAACTACCATCAGAGAGGAGAAAAACAAATCCTCTCTACAGAACAGTATCATCATAAAGAGCCTCTATTATTTCCCATATATGATGTTTGACATTCATTTTTAAAATGACCAGGAATGCTAGGAGACAGAACCAAATGACTGAAAATCAAGAGAAAAAAAGAAGACAATAGGAAAAGATCAAATAGGAGCTGGGCACAGTGGCTCATGCCTGTAATCCCAGCACTTTGGGAGGCTGAGGTGGGCAGATCACTTGAGGGCAGGAGTTTGAGACCAACCTGGCCAATATGGCAAAACCCTGTCTCTACCAAAAATACAAAAATCAGCTAGGCGTGGTGGCACACATATGTAATCCCAGCTACTTGGGAGGCTGAGGCACAAGAATTACTTGAACCCATGAGGCAGAGGTTGCAGTGAGCTGAGATTGTGCCACTGCACTCCAGCCTCAGTGACAGATCAAAACTCTGTCTTCAAAAAATAAAAAAAGAGAAAGATCAAATGGGGATCCAGGGATCCAGACATTGTTAATTACCACACACAGACTTTAAATAATTGTGATTAATATGTTCAGGAAAATAGAGGACAAGATGAGAATTTCACCAGAGAACTGGAATCTATGAAAACAAAAAAAAAGTTAAATTGAAAATCGAGAACTAAAAAATACATAATATAAAACTAACAATATAGCAGATGCTTTTAATAGCAGACTGAACATTAACTGAACTAGAAAAAAGGTCAACAGAAAATATCTAGATGGAGCACAAAGAAAAAGATAGAAAATACAGAAAAGAGCATGAGAGACATGTGAGATGCAGAGAAAGATCTAACATACAGTTATCTAGAATCCCAGAGGGAACTGAAAGAATGAGACAGAAGCAATATCAGAAGAGATATTCCAAACCTGACAAAAGACATCAAGCTACAGATCCTAGAGGATCTCCGGACCTGAAACATCTTAAATGATGAAAATCATAAAAAGCATGAAAGAAAACCACGTAAGCATCTTACTGAAAACTGCTAAAAACCGAAGACATTGCTTCTCTAATAAAAACAATGGGGGGCTGGGCACGGTGGCTCACATCTGTAATACCAGCACTTTGGGAGGCTGAGGTGGGCAGATCACCTGAGGTCAGGAGTTCGAGACCAGCCTGGCCAACATGGTAAAACCCTGTCTCTACAAAAAATACAAAAATTAGCCAGGCATGGTGGGACGCGCCTATAGTCCCAGCTACTGGGAGGGGCTGAGGCAGAGGAACCGCTTGAACTCAGGAGGCAGAGGTTGCAGTGAGCCAAGATCATGCCACTGCACTCCAGCCTGGGCGACAGAGTGAGACTCTGTCTCAAAAAAATAAATAAATAAAATAGAAACAATGAAGTCAGAAGGCAATAAAATGATATATTTAAAATGCTGAAAGAAAAGAACTGCCAACCTGGAATTCTATGCCCAATAAAACTATCCTTTTAAAATTAAGACAAAATTTCTTTTTTTTTTTTTGAGACGGAGTCTTCCTCCACACCATTCTCCTGCCTCAGCCTCCTGAGTAGCTGGGACTATAGGGGCCCACCACCATGCCCAGCTAATTTTTTATATTTTTTAGTAGAGACGGGGTTTCACTGTGTTAGCCAGGATGGTCTCGATCTCCTGACCTCATGATCCACCCGCCTCGGCCTCCCAAAAGGTTGGGATTACAGGCTTGAGCCACCTCACCTGGCTTAAGACAAAATTTCTAAAAATGCTTTCAGACAAAAATAGAACACTCATTACCAATAGACTTACACTTAAAAGAAAAGTGCAGTCTATGAAGAAAGAAAATAATCCCAGATGGAAGCACAGTAACACAGGAAAGAATCAACAATACATACAAGAAAGAAGAAATACATGCATAAAATTAAAAAACTATAATTTTTTTTGAGACAGGGTCTGGCTCTCTCGCCTACGCTGGAGTGCCATAGGGTGATCTTGGCTAACTGCAACCTCTGCCTCCGAGGCTCAAACCATCCTCCCACCTCAGCCTTCCAAGTAGCTGAGATTATAGGCACGTGCCACCACGCCTGGCTTTTTTGTTTGTTTGTTTGTTTGTTTGTTAGAGATGAGGTCTTGCCATGTTGCCTAGGCTGGTCTTGAACTCTGGAGCTCAAGTGATCCTCCTGCCTCGGCCTCCCAAAATGCTGAGATTACAGGTGTGAGCCACCATGCCCAGCCAAATAACTGTAATTTTTTTTTTTTTTTTTTTTTGAGACGGAGTTTCGCTCTTGCTGCCCAGGCTGGAGTGCAATGGCACAATTTCGGCTCACTGTAACCTCTGCCTCCCAGGTTCAAGCGATTCTCCTGCCTTAGCCTCCTGAGTAGCTGGGATTACAGGCATGAGCCACCATGCCTGGCCCAGAACTTTCTGAAACGAAAATGTTCAATATTTATGCTATCCAATATGGTAGCCATTAACCAGCGAGCACTTGAAATGTGGCTAGTTTGAGGAACTGAAGTTTTATTTTATTTTATTTTTTTAGAGACAGGGTCTCACTTGGTCGCCCAAGCTGGAAGTGGTATGATCATAGCTCACTGCAGCCTTGACCTCCTGGTCTCAAGTCATCCTCCTCTAGTAGCTGGAGCTATAGGTGCATACCAGTTAATTCTTTTTTTTTTTTTTTTTTTGGTAGAGACAGAGTCTCGCTTTGTTGCCCAAGCTGATCTCAAACTCCTGGGCTCAAGTGATCCTCCTGCCTCCCAAAGTCCTAGAATTATAGGTGTGAGCCACTGAGCCTGGCCTAGAGATTTAATTTTAATTAATTTAAATCAAAATAGCTACATATGGCTAGTGGCCTTTTTTTTTTTTTTTTTTTTTTTGAGATTGGGTCTTGCTCTGTAGCCCAGGCTGGAGTGCAGTGGCATGATCTCAGCTCACGGTAACCTCCGCCTCCCAGGTTCAAGCGATTCTTGTACCTCAGTCACCCGAGTAGCTGGGATTACAGGCATGTGCCACCACACCCGGCTAATTTTTGTATTTTTAGTAGAGACTGGGTTTCGTCATGTTGGCCAGGCTGGTATCCAACTCCTGGCCTCAAGTGATCCACCAGCCTCGGCCTCCCAAAGTGCTAGGATTACAGGCATGAGCCATCGTGCCTGCCCACTAGTGGCTTCTGTAATGAAAGGCACAGCTCTAAAACTTGGATGGTAGTAATGATCGGAGTAATTGAAAAATTCGTTGCAATGGAGAAAATGAGTTTGATAGTTAAGGCCCACAGTTACTTACTTCAAATAAGTACTTTTATTTCAATATCTATAGATTCTGAAGTATTGTACACTGATAAAATGCTGTCTGACAACCTTAACTAGCGGGCTTTTCTAGAATATTACCATGAAAGTCCTAGGAACCTCCTATTTTTTTTTAATAGTTCAAAGTGATTTAAGAAGAACTGTTATTAACCAGGATCAGGGGTGCAAGCCTCTGGTCTCAGCTATTGTTGAGGCAGGAGGATCACTTGAGGCCAGGAGTTTGAGACTACAGCATGCTATGATGGCATCTGTGAACAGCCACTGCACTCCAGCCTGGGCAACATAGTGAGATGCCATCTCAAAAAACAAAGAACTTCTGTATTTCAAAAACCTTCAAATTGCAACAGATATATAGCTTTTAATTGAATAGATTGCAGGTAATTAAATATTTACTTTTTACTTACTCCCTCGCAGCACTTCAATATCCTTTCTTATCCTTTTCTCTACCACTACCCACCCATACACCACCAGAGAAAGAAGTTGATCCAACGCTGCTACAATTCCAGATTTTTTTTTAACTTGTCAGCATTAAGTAGGTCAGTTTTCTGCTCTAGTGGGTGTTTTGGCAATAGGTTCTCTTATTGGAATACAGTGACTACTCTGCCTGGTAAGCACATACCACAAAGAAAAAAGGCTTTGAATAACTCTCCCTTAGGCTCCTGATTGCAAGAAGAAAATCCCTTAGCCTTAACTACCAGGAAATTCTGACAGAAAAACAAAACGCTATAGAAATAAAGAAAATTCCCATTCAACATTTGTTCTATATAGTGAAGTCTAAAGATCTTAAAAACCCTCGGTATCCAGCAACCCATAAGGATTTTGCTGAGAATTTGATGTATTGTTTTCAGCCCAATTCTAATCACTGAGATTGTAAGAAGGCAAAGGAAAAATAATACAAGACAATCTATCAGGTGTCTTATTTTTTTTTTTTTTTTTTTTTTTTTTTTTTTGAGACGGAGTCTCGCTCTGTCGCCCAGGCTGGAGTGCAGTGGCGGGATCTCGGCTCACTGCAAGCTCCGCCTCCCGGGTTCACGCCATTCTCCTGCCTCAGCCTCCCAAGTAGCTGGGACTACAGGCGCCCGCCACTACGCCCGGCTAATTTTTTTTGTATTTTTAGTAGAGACGGGGTTTCACCGTTTTAGCCGGGATGGTCTCGATCTCCTGACCTCGTGATCCGCCCGCCTCGGCCTCCCAAAGTGCTGGGATTACAGGCGTGAGCCACCGCGCCCGGCCTATCAGGTGTCTTATTAAGTGACATGGTTTGGCTGTGTCCTTACCCTGATCCCCTCTTGAATTGTAGTTCCCATAATCCCCATGTGTCATGCGAAGGAATCATGGGGCGGTTACCCCCATGCTGCTGTTCTCATGATAGCAAGTGATATGTTTATACACGACGGTTTAATTCTTTACACAATCCTGTGAAATAGGTCATGGTATCGTATCTCCTTTAGGGGTAGAGAAAAGGATAAGAAAGGATATTGAAGTGCTACAAGGGAGTCCTTTTGTAAAAAACCTCACAAAATCTGATGGTTTTATAAGAGGCTTTTCCCCTTTTGCTTGGCACTTCTCCTTCCTGCTACCATATGAAGGACGTGTTTGCTTTCCCTTCTGGCACAACTGTAAGTTTCCTGAGGCCTCCCCAGCCATGCTAAACTGTGAGTCAATTAAAGAGACCTCCGGTGACTGAGGTACAAGAATCGCTTGAACCTGGGAGGCGGAGGTTGCAGTGAGCTGAGATCATGCTACTGCACTCCAGCCTGGGCTACAGAGCAATACCCAATCTCAAAAAAAAAAAAACAAAAACAAACAAACAAAAAAAAAACCAAAAAGGCCACTAGTCATATGTAGCTATTTTGATTTAAATTAATTAAAATGGAATAACATTAAATCTCTAGGTCAGGCTCAGTGGCTCACACCTATAATTCTAGGACTTTGGGAGGCAGGAGGATCATTTGAGCCCAGGAGTTTGAGATCAGCCTGGGCAACAAAGCAAGACTCTGTCTCTACCAAAAAAAAAAAAAAAAAAAAAATTAGCTGGTATGCACCTATAGCTCCAGCTACTAGAGGAGGATGACTTGAGACCAGGAGGTCAAGGCTGCAGTGAGCTATGATCATACCACTTCCAGCTTGGGCGACCAAGTGAGACCCTGTCTCTAAAAAAATAAAATAAAATAAAACTTCAGTTCCTCAAACTAGCCACATTTCAAGTGCTCGCTGGTTAATGGCTACCATATTGGATAGCATAAATATTGAACATTTTCGTTTCAGAAAGTTCTGGGCCAGGCATGAGCTCTTTCCACTACAAATTACCCAGTCTCGGGTATGTCTTTATTAGCAGTGTGAGAATGGACTAATACATTAAGAATTCTAATAGAAGAAACCTTATCACTAAAACTAAAATTCTGGAAAACCTTTCCTTGTAAGATATAACTTCCTTGTGGGGAAATATTTTTTAATTTAAAAAAGTCAAATAAATTTAAACTTTTAATGATTGTATTATAGCAGAAAGTAAATCTGGTGTTTATCAGAATAAGTTATTTATATAGAATAAAGTTGGTATCTTTTTTTTTCAGCTAGGCTTATGGCTGATCTAATTTAAAAATCAACGTTGTTTCTTTATTGTGGATCTGATAACTCAGTTTTACACTTTTAATCATTTGTAAATCAAATATTAAGGAAGAAACTTGACAGGTGTATATTTAACCAGCCACCTTCAAACTATAAAACCTTGAGGCTGAGTGCGGTAGCTCACGCCTGTAATCCCAGCACTTTGAGAGGCTGAGGCGGGCGGATCACTTGAGGTCAGGAGTTGGCAACCAGCCTGGCCAAAATATAGTGAAAGCCCGTCTCTAATAAAAAATACAATGGGCCGGGCGCAGTGGCTCACGCCTGTAATCCCAGCACTTTAGGAGGCCGAGGTGGGCGGATCACGAGGTCAGGAGATCAAGACCATCCTAGCTGACACAGTGAAACCCCGTCTCTACCAAACAAAATACAAAAATTAGCAGGGCGTGGTGGCGGGCGCCTGCAGTCCCAGCTACCAGAGAGGCTGCGGCAGAAGAATGGCGTGAGCCCGGGAGGCGGAGCTTGCAGTGAGCCAAGATGGCGCCACTGCACTCCAGCCTAGGCGACAGAGCAAGACTCTGCCTTAAAAAAAAAAAAAAAAAAAAAAATTAGCTGGATGTGGTGGTGCGCACCTGTACTCCCAGCTACTTGAGAAGCTGAGGCAAGAGAATCGTTTGAACCCGGGAGTCTGAGGTTGCAGTGAGCCAAGATTGCGCCACTGAACTCCAGCCTGGGTTACAGAGCGAGACTCCATCTCTCAAAAAAAAAAAAAAAAAAAAACAAAAACAAAAACACTGGTCTCTGTTTTATACATATCTTCTCTTTATTTATTTTTTTGAGACGGAGTCCTGCTCTGTCACCCAGGTTGGAGTGCAGTGGCACCACTGCAATCTTTGTCTCCCAGGTTCAAGCGATTCTCCTGCCTCAGCCTCCTGAGTAGCTGGGACTACAGGTGCGTGCCACCACACCCGGCTAATTTTTTGTGTTTTTAGTAGAGACAGGGTTTCACTGTGTTAGCCAGGATGATCTTGATCTCCTGACCTTGTGATCTGCCCGCCTCGGCCTCCCAAAGCACTGGGATTACAGGCATGAACCTCCAAAGTGCTGGGATTATAGGTGTGAACCACCGTGCCCGGCCCATCTCTTCATTTTATAAGGAGGGCAAAAGTTTAAAGTTAATACTATTCTCATGTTCAAAGATAAGGAAGTTCACACATGAAGAAAATGACTTTGAAATTATATAATTCAATAGTCACTGTTTAAAATGGGATAATAATGTATACCTCCTGATTTCCACTTGCATTCATTCCTCTTCAATGTACTACCTTAAATGATACTATCAGAAACACACAGGTTATGTGCACCACCTTATCCTATAGGTTTATATACCAAAAGACCACCAAAAGTTTAATCTACATTTTATATACTTATTACAAAAATGAAATATACCAAAAAACATTATAACATAACCCATGTTAGGAAAACATGTAAAGAACATTTTTAAAAAATAAAGGAAAATGACAGATGAGAAAAGAAAAAATATAAATCCATAATAGAAATATTTGATCCAACATTCTATTTCTAGGGGCTATACTAAGGGCATAATATAAGTACACAAAGGTAAATGTAAAAGAATGTTCATTGTAATACCATTTGTGATAGTAAAAATTATAAGCTTAATTATCAAAAAATGGGAACAAGTTGAATAGATTATGGTATATCTAAACCACGGCATACAATGTGACTTTTAAAATTATTAAGTGCTAAGAGGAGCCCCTCCTCCAAGAACATATTAGCATATTGGAATAGAGGGCAAATGTAGTTTGAAAAAACATTCCAAAGTTATCATTGGTTTGATTTGCTTTTAGAAACAGTAATTAATTTATTTTGAAATTTTATTAAACATTAAAGTGAGATTTTTGTATTTATCAAAGGAATTTTTCATGTTATCTGTTCAAACATCAAAGATCCAATCTTTCTTTGAAGCCTTCCCCAATCCTCCAAAGCAAAGTCAGATGTTCCCCCCACTGTTTCCCAAATCACTCTTGAGATACCTTTGTTATAGAAATCATTACCCTACTGTCTTATTTATAAGACTGATTTCCTTGAGGACAAAAACAAAGTCTTTTTTTTTTTTTTTTTTTTTTTTTTTTTTTGAGACAGTCTTGCTCTGTCGCCCAGGCTGGAGTGCAGTGGCGTGATCTCAGCTCACTTCAACCTCCACCTCCCAGGTTCAAGCAATTCTCCTGCCTCTGTATCCTGAGTAGCTGGGATTACAGACACATGCCACCACGCCCGGCTAATTTTGAATTTTTAGTAGAGACGGGGTTTCACCATGTTAGTCAAGCTGGTCTTGAACTCCTGACCTCAGGTGATCCGCCCACCTTGGCCTCCCAAAGTGCTGGGATTACAGGCATGAGCCACCACACCTGGCTGGTCTTAAGTATTTTTATACTCTTGATACTTACAACAGGTTTTGAAACACTATAGGCCCTCAATATAAGACTTGTTGAATATATTCAACCTCTATTTTTGAAAATAGAGGTTGAATATATATTCAAACTCTTTTTCTGCTATATTAGATACTCTACCTTGGCCAACTTTTTAAACCTTTCTCAGCCTTGGTTTTCTTTTCAGCAACAATGGGGATACAACACTATGACCTATTTCATAGGACTGTATAAGGAATTAAACCATCGTGCATAAACATATTTGGTCTCACTGGTGTATAAATGGCAATGAAAAAATCCTTTTCAGTGGATTTTTTTTCTTTTTTTTTTTTTGGATGACTGCATCTCCTTAGAACTGAAATGACTGAAATTATACAGATAATAATCTTGCAAAAATTTAAATTTTAAAAAATCATTTCTATCACATGGGACACAAATATCTAAAAGAAAAAAGAAAAAGAAAAAATCATTTTCAGTTGCATCTGTCAGGGGTTTATTATTTAATTAAATAATTATTTTTATTATTGATTGTCAATAATAAAATCACTAATTACTCTAACAATGATTCATTCTCCTATTTCAGACAGCTGTGAGCATCCATGATAAAGGTCAGTGGTTCTCAAGCTTTAGCATACATAAAAATCACTTAGATGGCTTAATGTACAGATTGCTGGGCCTCACCCCTAAGGTTTCTAACACAGTAGGTCTGGGATGAGGCCCCAGCATTTGCATTACTAACAAGCCCCTAGATGGTGCACATTTGAGAACTATTTATATAGGTAATTCAGCAATCAAGTGATACCAACAGGTAGAGGTGGGAGGAGTTGTAGTTTTCTGGCAATCTCATTAAATGTCCTAAGAGATGAAAAGACTACTATTGTCCACAGAATTGGGTTCTACTCAAATACTTTATTATAAAATAATCCTGGAAGACTGTTGTACATCTGTTTACCAATTCTACTGGGGAACTTCCTACCCATTTTGTGTATATACGGAAGAGGAGTAAGTGCAGGGAACATTAACTAAATCACCCAAGCCAGTCCAAAATCTTCCCCAGGGTTTTTTGTTTTGCTTTGTTTTGTTTTTTACATGATGGGGAAATATTACCTTGATTCCTGTAGGATTGCAACTATACAACCAATGTGAACTGGAGGTGCTTGCAACCATCTTCCCTTGATTACCTGAAGAAAGCTCATCTCAGGAGAAGTAAGGCCAAGAGGCAAAGGAAAACAGAGCTGAGAAATACAGGATCAAAGTAAAAGCCCCTGAAGGTCATTCTTGCCCCTAAATCTGTGCTATATCAGGTTTGATTGGATTAATTAATTACTTGAGCCAATAACTCTTTTTCCCCCTTAAAATGGGTTTCTGTCCCCTGCAATTATGAGTCCTAACTAAAACTGTGAATGAGTGAAAAAGTTGAATGCAAAGGCTCTAATAACACCTAGCTCTCCATGATAACATTTGAAAGAGAAATAGATTTTCAGATGAGAAGACATTTTGGCTGGTAGCCTGCAATCTGAAAGAGGCTACCACACTTGGAACTGTGACTGAAACTGTTTCACAAGCTTACAAGTAAGCTTCAATCAATACCTCAGGAAATTAGACAGTTGTGCCTTAGTCGATATCTAACCTGATTAAACTTTATTGGCTGTAGTTTATAGTCAACACAGATCTCTAAGTCTAGCCACACAGTGTCATATATTTATTTGGCCTATAATAACAATAATTAAATGTTGCAATTTACTCTTCCATTCACTGATTCTCTATTATATTAAGACACCATGATAACATCTAGCAGGTAGCAGTTCAAAAGAAAGAAAACCAGATTTAGGAACCATCTACACTGAGATGACAACCAAAGCTAGGAAAACTGAGTAAGTCTACCAAGGGTAAGAGGATCCTTAACCTGGTCCACACATGAGATTGGGGGATTTTTTTCTGGGCGGGGGGAGTTCTATGAAGTCCCAAAGTTGTAGGCAAAATTTAATAGACATGTGCGTTTTTCTGGGAGGAGGGGTCACTGCTTACGTCAGATTCTGCAAGAAGGATAAGAACCCAAAAAGGTTAACAGTGGTGAGGGGAGGAAATTATCAAGAGGGAACTGTGAAGAACACTTACTCATATTAAAAGAAGTTGAGAAGTTGAAAGGAATCTATAAATTACTAAGTGTCTATGTGAACAGTGCTGTGCACATTATATATCACATTGCATTTAATCCTGATAATAATCTGAGATGGTTTTCAGCAGCCCAATTTTACAGGTAAGAAAACTAAAGCACAGAGAAATTAAGTGGCTTGACTAAGGCTAGACAGCTATCCAGTCTACCACACTGTAGTGGAAGGTAAGATGAGTTATAAAATAAGGGGGCTATCATTCCAATTGCAATATTCACCATTTCTTTCAGAGCAGTAACTCTGACAACTAATTGTTAGGTCAAGAACATAAACTTTGGAGATAGCAATAAGAACAAAATCATGGAATGCTTAATTAAATCACATGATTTCTAAGGCTGTATAAATCTGGAAGATTGGCAATTTGACAGACTCTAATGCCATCATAAAATCAACAGTTTGTTTACAAAGCACTCATTCTAGCAAAAAGTCACTGAAGGCTGGAAGGCTGGAATAAGAGCCAGTTTTAATGTTTGCAGTTGCTCTTTAGTAACAATGCATCATCAAAAAACACTAGGTGTCAATAACCCAGTGCCAATGAAATATGGCAAACCTGCCTAAATTATTATTCTTTTCACCAATACTTGTGAATTCTGGCTCCTAATCTAATAAAAGTCTTTAAAATAAAGCACTTTCATTTTATTGTCTCTCTGAGCCAAGAAGAGTCACAAGTTTTTGCTGGGATCTTTTCCCCTCTTCTAATAGCTTTGCACCATTAGTAGCAACTTTCATAGCAAGTGGGTCTTAATATTAATACTTTTTTTGCATAATCTTAACTGTTTAAATTTAATTTTAAAATTAATTTTTTGTTAAGGTATAGTTGACAAATAAAAATTATTATTCTTTTTTGAGACGGAGTTTCACTCTTGTGCCCAGGCTGGAGTGCAATTGCGCGATCTTGGCTCACTGCAGCCTCTGCCTCCCGGGTTCAAGCGATTCTCCTGCCTTAGCCTCCCAAGTAGCTGGGATTATGGGCATGCCCCTTTAATTTTCTATTTTTAGTAGAGACAGAGTTTCACCATGTTGGCCAGGCTGGTCTCGAACTCGTGACCTCAGGTGATCAACCCACCTCGTGCTGGGATTACAGGCGTGAGCCACTGCATCCCGGGAGACAAATAAAAATTATGTATTTATGATATACAACGTGATGTTTTGATGTATGTATACATTGTGAAATGGTTAAATTGAGCTAATTAACATATCCATCACCTCACATACTTATTTTGGTTTTGTGAGAACATTTAAGATTTATTGTCTTTGCAGTTTTCTTTAAAAAAAAAAAAAAAAAAGAGAGAGAGATTGTCTCACTCTGTTGCCCAGGCTGAAGTGCAGTGGTGTGACAAAGCTCACCACAGCTTTGAATTCCTGGGCCCCAGTGATCCTCTGGCCTATGCCTCCTGAGTAGGTGGAACTACAGGCACAAGTCACCACACTCTGCTCTCCTTTTCAAGTATATAATACATTATTATTAACTACAGTCACCATTGTTGTACAAGGGATCTCCAGAACTTATTCATCCTAACCGAAACTTTGTACCCTTTGACCTGTTCCCTCTCTTCCTCCCTAGATCCTGGCAACCATCATTCTACCAGACTGTTTCTGAATTTGACTTTTCAAGACTCCACTTATAAGTGAAATCATGAAGTATTTGTCTGTCTTTTCTTTTTTTTTGCTTATGCATTTCTTCATTTGAAACAAAAAATAACATTTCACATTCTTTTATTCTTTCATGTTTATATTCAGAATAAAAGTCAATATTAGCACCCGGCAATCTTTGTTTTTTAATAAAGCCACATTGTCTTTCTGTGCCTACCTTATTTCAGTTTGCATAATGTCCTCCAGGTTCATCCACAATGTTGCAAATGAAAGGATCTCCTTTAAGGTTGAATAGTATTCGTGTGTTTGTGTGTGTGTGTGTGTGTGTGTGTGTGTGTGTGTGTGTGTGTGTGTGTGTGTGTTACATGTGGCTGTATCTCTAGCCTGGGAAACAGAGCTAATACAATAATAAATACAGGGATTAAAAAGGGATTAGAATAGGTATTCATAAGTATAGCTACACATGATGTATACACACACACACACATACACACACACTCTCTACATTTCTTTATCCATTCATCTGTTGATGGACACTTAGGTTGATTCCTATCTTGGCTATTGTGAATAAATGCTGCAATGAATCCTAATACATTTTAAAGGGGTGGTGGGCTGGGCGTGGTGGCTCATGCCTATAATCCCAACACTTTGGGAGGCAGAGGTAGGTAGACTGGTTGAGCCCAGGAGTTTGAGACCAGCCTGGGCAACATGGCAAAACCCCATCTCTACAAAAGATACAAAAATTAGCCTGGCAGTGGTGTGTCCCTATAGTCCTAGCTACTTGGGAGGCTGAGGTGGGAGGACTGCTTGAGCCCGGGAGGTCAAGGCTGCAGTGAGCCGTGATCATACCACTGCACTCCAGCCTGGGTGGCAGAGCGAGACTCTGTCTGTAAAATAATAAAATATTAAAATTTAAATTAAATTTAAAAGGGGTTATTCCAGAATGATGTTAATGTGCCAGAGATGAGGAATGAAACATAGGTTAATCATTCACATAGGGATTAAAAGTAGGTATTCATATGTATAGCTACACGTGACATTAGGTGTTCTACAGGCAATGCATAGTTTTTCCTGTGTCTCAACTGTCCTCTTTGAAAAAATGGAAATAACCTTAAAATACATTATTGTTGAAGACAATGAAGGTGAATTGAGTTCTAGAATGGCTAGATGGATACAGACACAGCTGAAAGAGAAATAAAATCCTTAACATAGCTGTTTCTTCTATATATGGAAAATAAGTCTAAATTGGAGTTGATATCAACTTCAGGTAGAAATGAAAACTAACATAGTCTTTTTTATTTTTATTTTTTTTATTTTTTAGAGACAGGCACATGCCATACACCAGCTAATTTTTTATTTTTATTTCTTGTAGAGATAGGGACTTATTCTGTCACCTGGCTGGGGTGCAGTGGCACGACCATAGCTCACTGTAACCTCAAACTCCTGGGCTCAAGTGATCCTCCTGCCTCAGTCTCCCAAAGTGCTGAGATTACAGGCATGAGCTACCATACCTAGCCAGCCTGCCCCTCTATCCATCCATCTACCCATCTATCCATCTATCTAATCTATCTATTTACTTTAATTATTAGGGGTGTGTGTGTGTGTGTGTGTGTGTGTGTGTGTGTGTGTGTTTAAGCAACAAGGTCTTGCTCTGTGGCCCGAGCTGGAGTACAGTGGCACAATCATAACTCACTGGAACCTCATACTCCTGGGCTCAAGGGATCTTCCCACCTCAGCCTCCAGAGCAGCTGGGACTACAGGCCCATACCACAAGGCCTGGCTAGTTTTTTTGTGTATTTTTTTTGTTGTTTTTTTGTTTTGGAGAAACGAGGCCTTGCTATGTTACCTGGGCTGGTCTCAAACTCCTGAGCTCAACTGATACTCCTGTCTTAGCCTCTCAAAGTGCTGGGATTACAGGTGTGAGCCACCAGCCTTTTTAGAATACAGTTTTGCAATATGCAACTAAAGACCTTAAAATGAACATATATTGAGGAATATTTCACACAGAATCATCAGACCAATCAGATAATTTACGGTATATCTATACCAGTGGTTCTCAAAATTTAGCATGTATCAGAATCACCTAAAGTGTTTGTAAAACCATAGATAGCAGCTGGCGCAGTGGCTCATGCCTGTAATCCCAGCATTTTGGGAGGCTGAGTTGGGCAGATCACTTGAAGTCAGGAGTTTGAGACCAGTCTGGCCAACACGGTGAAACCCTGTCTCTACTAAAAATACAAAAAATTAGCCAGGCATGGTGGCGCACACCTGTAATTCCAGCTGCTCAGGAGGCTAAGACAGGAGAAACACTTGAACCCGGGAGGCAGAGGTTGCAGTGAGCTGAAATCGCACCACTGCACTCCAGCCTGGGCAACAGAGTGAGTGATATGCCGTCTCAAAAAAACAAAACAAAACAAAACAAAATAACCACAGATTCCTGGGCCCCCAAACCAGGTTTCCGATTCAGTAGGTCTGGGTGGAGGCCAAGAATATGCACTTCTAACAAATTCCCAAGTAATGCTGGTATCTCTGGTCCAAGGACCATGCTGAGAATCATTGATCTAAAAAATGGACTTCTATGAAACCATTAAAAATGAAGATCTATATTCATTGATATGATATATATGCATGCAGTGGTGTACTGATAAGCCAGCCTGGGGAGGAATTCAGCGGGGAGAAAGAAGCCCTGCTTTGTAGCATTTGCCAAATTCACTGATGTAGCTGATCCCACCATTGCTAATATCAAGCTACCAACAATTTGGGCTTGCATAACTTCTTAATTATTGGCTCTGGTGAGATAGTGCTAGCTGGTCCAAGCACACTAACTAGAAAAATATCTAACAAGATATAAGGCAAAATGGTAATTAAGCAGTTATCTTTGGGTAAAAGAATTTTAGGGATTTTCTTAATGTCTTCCTGTATTTTCTTAATTGTTTTATGAGCATTCTCACTTTTATAATAAAAATCTATTAACAATTAAAAATGAAGTTATTTGCATCGGCTATATCTTTCTGGTCATTAAATATTCACACACATACATTCATTCATATATGTGTCTATAAAGGTTTGGATTAAGAGTTCTGTATAGTTGGAAGTTTTGCACCCCCTCTAAAGAAGACATTGATATTTAAACATTAAGAACAAGTCTACTACTGCACTCTCCTTCTGTGTTAACCTGGCCTTGATGAAGTGGAAAAAGAAAGAATGGTAAAGGCCCAGCTGAGAAGTCTTTGAACTCTAGCCCTGGAGCATCAAGGGCTAGAAGTGTCTGTTTACAAAACGAAGCATTAACAGCTGCCCTAGAATCCAAGCGGAAAATAGCCTAAGACAGCCTGCAATGCATGTGCTATAAAACCCAGTTTCACAAAAAGAGCAGGAATATAATCCCACTAGCTTTGCCACATAAAAATGTAGGTCTGATTAACAGTTCACCAAATTGTTAACGGAAAAAAATCAAAAATAGCTTAAATATCCCACAATAGAAGATTAAATAATTTAAAGCTATAAAATGGAATATGCACCTATTAAATGGTGATATTTTAAAATTTCTAACAACATGGGGAAATGGTCATAAATTATTGTGAAAGGAAAAAATGTAAGAAAACTGTGTATATAATCCCATTAATAAACTACATATTTGTATATGAGAGAGAGACACACACAGAGAGAGAGAGAGAGAGAGAGAGTGTGTGTGTGTGTGTGTGTGTGTGTGTGTGTGTGTGTTTAAAGACCAGAAAAATATAGCCAAGGTTAATAGCAATTATCTCTGGATTAGGGTATTATAGATGATCTTTTTATATTTGCCCATTTGTATTTTCAAAAATATCTACAGCAAATATATATTATTTGGGTATTTTTTTTTTTTAGTCACCAAGCAGGGGAAACCCAAATTGTAACAAGTAAATGAAAAGATGCCCAACCTCACAATCAATCACAGAAATAGAAATTAAAACAATATACTTCTTTATTCCCATCAGATTGACAAGGCTAAACAGATGGATAAGACCAAATATTGGTGAATATTTAAGGAAATGGGAATTCTAATTTACTACTGGTGGGAGCATAAACTGGGTAGCCATTCTAAAAAACAACTTGGCAATATTTAGTGAAATTAAGTATGTGTACGGGCCACAAGTCAGCAATTCCTTTTCTCGGTATATACTAGAGTAACCTTTGCACATATCAATAGGATATATGCATAAGGATGTACACAGCAGCACTATTTGTTTTAGTTTTCAACACACCTAGGTATCAATTATTAGAGAAACATACAAGTAAAATGTGGAAATACATATACAATGGAACATTATACAACAGTCAGTTGTTGTAAACTAGATTTACAAATACAGTATGCGCTTCCATAATTCCTTTTTTTGATCAAAAAAGAATAAATAGATTCACAGCATAATACCATTATACGGATTAAAAACACATACACACAAAACAATATGAAAATATTTCAAAAATAAGCACTTACTTACATTAAGCATATTAAATAGTTGGCCCTCCACATCCATGGGTTCAACCAGCTATGGACTGAAAATATGCCAGAGCCGGGCACAGCGGCTCACGCCTATAATCCTGGCACTTCGGGAGGCTGAGGCGGGCAGATCACCTGAGGTCCGGAGTTAGAAACCAGCCTGACGAAAATGGAGAAACCCTGTCTCTACTAAAAATACAAAATTAGCCGGGTGTGGTGGCGCATGCCTATAATCTCTGCTACTTGGAAGGCTGAGGCAGGAGAATTGCTTGAACCCAGGACACAGAGGCTGCAGTGAGCCGAGATTGTGCCATTGCACTCCAGCCTGGGCGACAAGAGAGAAACTATGTCTCAAAAAAGAAAAAAAAATATGCCAGAGAA